>NC_000003.12:83343333-83646363 GCF_000001405.40 Homo sapiens | reverse complement strand
TACTGTTTTCAACTTCATTAAGTCAATATGACTTTCCATTTACCTAAATTTTCTTTAATTTTGTTCAACAATGTTTCATAGTTCTTGGTATACATATTTTGTACTTCTTTGTTAAATTTATCTATAAGTGTTTCATTGTTTTTGATGCTATTAGAAATTAAAAGAAGTATTTGCTAGTATTAATTTTCATAGTTCTGAAAAATAGTTCAAAAAACAAAAACGTCATTTGCCTGTATGAATATGTTCAATTGTTGTGTCAATTACTGCTGTTTTATGTTTTGTCTTCTAAACAATTTGAAGTAAAACAACCAGGATCCTTCACTGCATGAAGAGAAAAATTATTAATGGTTCAGTGCTAACTTCTGATATGTTTATGTTAAATGTCATATTGGTATATTGATTTATGAAGTAGCTAGGTTAGCTAATTTTAGTTTTTTTCTGTAAAAAGTCAGTTCTGATCACATTTATATTGTGTTGTTTATATTCAAGTCTCAAATTTTGATAAATAAAAGTGTTAAAATATCATTTGCATTCAAAATATACTGGGATTTTCTGGAAAGTCACTGAGTAACCCAAAATATTTTTTATTTTGCCATATACGAAGTAAAGTAAAGGAGACAATTAGTTTTTGTTTTTGTTTTTGTTTTTTTTTAATTATCCAGGTTACAATTATCTCTAAATTTTTGTGAAGATTTTTCAAATAAAAAAAAAAACCTGACATATTCAAGTAGATATGCTTAGTTATTTAAAGTAATTTTTGTTAATAAAATTGTTTCATACAGGCATGGTGGTATATGCCTGTTGTCCCAGCTACTTGAGAAACTAATATGGGAGGCTCACTTGAGCCCAGGGGTTCAAGGCTGCAGCAGACAATGATTGTGCTCTGGCCTGATCAACAGAGAACCCCATCTCTGTTTATTTTTTAAAAAATTGTTTAAATGGTGATGCACTATTCACTTTTAAAGGTAGAATGTACTGGTTTGTGGTAAACACTAGTATAAATAATGGTTAACAAATTGGTTTCATTTCTAGCTTTCAAAGATCTTTTCAATTAAAAATGATTTTACTTCATTTATCAGTATAATTCAAACAACTCTGAAAGATAATAATTTTCCAGATTCTTATAGATTAAATTTCCATTGTAACTGAATAAAAGATTCCCTTCTATTTATTCATCATAATTCTATTTAAGAGAAATACTTTAATCATAGCTGTTCACTATGAACAGGAATGTCTGGCCTTCCTTTGCCAGGTATGCCATCTTCTGTGTGATCTTAAGAACTGGTTACTAGGGAAAGCCTATTCTTGAAACTCGCTGAAAAACACCTTATTAGATACAGTTGGTATTTAACCCTAAAGTAGATTTTTTTCATCTAAAATAACATCATCTATTTTTTAACACTAATCATAACAATAAAGCAAAATATATCATCTTATTTGGACAGTAATGTGACAGACATTCTGAATGGAATTTATGGTGTTTATGCTTATACAGGCTACTAAGCCCAGACAATAGAAAAATGCTTTACAGCAGCTGCTTATAATATATATTTCCAGGCATTCTCTAGAAAATAATATTTTCCATAATAAATGCATTATCTATTTAAAATCTAAGTGCATATTAACTATTAGATACTAATTAAAATTCTGCAGACTATAAACAAATGTACTTTAACACAGAATGTTCCCAAATATGCTATGAAACACTTTTCTGGAATGAATTTATTAAGTTTTCTTCAAATACTTCTGGAAATACAGACTTCAAGAAGGTTCACTTAGTAAGACAGACAAGTTTCTCAAAAAACAGTGATATACACTAGTCTCACCTCCCTTTGAATGTGTGAAGCACTGCTAGTTTGTTTTAGCAAACATTTTATTGAACTGTAAATTATAATCTACATATAGAAAGTGCACAATTAGTAATTGTATATTTCTATGAATTATCCAAAAACAAATACACTCCATTCAGTGTATTCAGCTGTATAAATTCAGCTCAGAAGCAACATACAAAAATTGCCTGTGTGCCCACCTGCAGTTATTATTACCCTGCTGTGTGTAACAATTATTCAGCCTGTTATAAAATAGTTTTTGAGCTTTATATGAAGTAGAATATATATTGTTATTTTATTTCTGTCTTTTTAAAAATAGGCACCATTAAGTTTATAATATACATACATGCTGTGGAGTAGAGTGGCAGGTTGTTTATTCTAATTGTTATATAGTACTAAATTTCATTGAATATACCATGATGCATTTATTCTTTCCACAGTTGACATGCAATTGGCTTGTTTCTAGATTTTGGTGAATATAGTTAGTGGTACAATAAACATTCTTTTCCATGTATTTTGGTGAATGTATGATCTCCCTTCTGTTGATTATATATTTGGGAGTGTAAACATTGAGCCAGAGAGTACGCATATATTTAGCTTCATAAGATATATCCAAACAGTGTAAAGTTGATGTACTAATTTCTACCTTTATCATCAATCTGTGAGAATCTCGTTTTTTGTATTTTAATTTCCTTTTAGTTTAGCTATTTTGATGCATGTTTGTGTGTGTGTGTGGCATGTTATGCTTTTTTAATCAAGCTTTTTAATATACATGAAATAAAATACACACTTTTAATGCCATAGATTTTTTGAAAAATGCATATCTTCATGTAATTGTGTAAAGAATTGTAATATTTTCAGGATAATAATTTTGAATATTTCAGCCATCTGTAAAAGTTTTCTCATGCCTTGTCCCAGTCAATGCCTATACCCAAATCTCAGTGCCAGTCAATGTGTGATTCGTATTTTATCACCACAGATTTAATTTTGTTTTTCTATAGATTGACTTAATTGCAATCATCCATATGTACCCTATTTTGCTGGCTTCTTTTAGAGGTACAAATTTTTTATATTGATTTGTATTTTTACTTACACAAGTAGTCTGTTTCTTTCATTGCTGAGTATTCTTTCATTGTATTGACATATAAAATATTTCAACTATTTACCATATGATGGTATTTTGGTTATTTATAGTTTTTGGCTAATTGCAAATGTAGGCCAAATTTTGGTATTTGGGCAGTAAGTTTGAACTTTGATGTTTGAATAGGATTTTTATCTTAAATATGTATTTCAAAGGTGTCCTCAGATTTTTAAAATGAAACATAGAGGTATTTTTTTACTTCTCATCCCTTTTTAAAAAATGATTTCTGGAATTTATAGAAGATTTTACTATGCAGGTAGGTATACGTTGAATTCAATGTTTACAATGATTCATGATTATTAGTGAGAATATTATAATTTTTTAAGTTTATATTCTCTCAAGAAATATTGTGTCTCCAAATTTAAGCTAGGTGAATTAATTGAAATTAATGAACCACAGTAGACATCTCTAGTACATTGCACTGAAAATTTTTGGTACTTAGAGGTAATCTTGTGATTAAAGTTGTGAGAAATAGAAAACACCTACCTGGTGAGAAAGACATTTTAAAAGGTAGTGCAGAAGACTACAAAACTTAATAAATTTTTTCTCAGTTTTTCCTTACTTTTCTAAAAATATGTTTTAAAACATTCTATGAAGGATAAATGCACATTGGCTCACTGTGATTTAACCTATATAACATATTGCTATTGAAGAGGAGAGTAGATCCCTCCAACATGTTCCTTGGGGATTAATTTGTCCTTCCTTTTAATCTCTATGAAGTTAAGATTTGTTTAAACATACTATAAAGCAGGAATCATGATTCGTAGTGAACCCTAAACTAGTAGGTTGTACTATCTAGGCAGTACTTTTGAACTTTGATGGTTGAATATGATTTATATATTAAATTCATATTTATTTATATGTTTATATATCATATATAAACTATATATATTTGTTTATATATTTAATTATATATTTAATATATAATTATATATAATATTTATATATAAAATATATTATGTATAAACTATATACTTATATATTATATATAATTATATATATTTAATATATAATTACATATAATATTTATATATAAAATACATATATAAACTATATAATATATAAACATATAAATAAATATGAATTTAATATATAAATCATATTCAACCATCACAGTTCAAAAGTACTGCCTAGATAGTACATCCTACGAGTTTAGGGTTCAGCACAAATCATGATTCCTGCTTTATAGTATGTTTAAACAAATCTTAACTTCATAAAGATTAAAAGGAAGGACAAATTCATCCCCAAGGAACATGTTGGAGGATCTACTCACCTCATGAATAGCAATATGTTATATAGGTTAAATCACAGTGAGCCAATGTGCATTTATCCTTCATAGAATGTTTTAAAACATATTTTTAGAAAAGTAAGGAAAAACTGAGAAAAAATTTATTAGGTTTTGTAGGCTTCTGCACTACCTTTTAAAATGTCTTTCTCACCAGGTAGGTGTTTTCTATTTCTCACAACTTTAATCACAAGATTACCTCTAAGTACCAAAAATTTTCATTGCAATGTACTAGAGATGTCTATTGTGGTTCACTAATTTGAATTAATTCACCTAGCTTAAATTTGGAGACACAATTTATTATATATAAACTATATATTATAATATATAAACATATAAAGAAATATATATATAAATTATATGTTATATAAATTCAAAGATCAAATGGTCGTCGATTTGTGTTGTTATTTCTGAGGCCTCTGTTCTCTTATATTGGTCTATACATCTGTTTTGGTACCAGTACCATGCTGTTTTGGTTACTGTAGCCTTATAGTGTAGTTTGAAGTCAGGTAGCATGATGCCTCCAGCTTTGTTCTTGTTAATTAGGATTGTCTTGGCTATGCAGGCTCTTTTTCAGTTCCATACGAAATTTAAATTAGTTTTTTTCCAATTCTGTGAAGAAAGTCAATGGTAGCTTGATGGGGATAGCATTGAATCTATACATTACATTGGGCAGTATGGCCATTTTCACGATACTGATTCTTCTTATCCATGAGCATGAAATGCTTTTCCATTTGTTTGTGTCCTCTCTTATTTTGTTGAGCAGTGGTTTGTAGTTCTCCTTGAAGAGGTCCTTCACATCCCTCTAGGAATAAGTTGTATTCCTAGTATTTTTTCTCTTTGTAGCAATTGTGAATGGGAGTTTGGTCATAATTTAGCTCTCTGTTTGTCTATTATTGGTGTATAGGAATGCTTGTAATTTTTGCACATTGATTTTGTATCCTGAGACTTTGCTGAAGTTTCTTATCAGCTTAAGGAGATTTTGGGCTGAGACAATGAGGTTTTCTAAATATACAACATGTCATCTGCAAACAGAGCAATTTGACTTCTCCTTTTCCTAATTGAATACTGTTTATTTCTTTCTCTTGCCTGATTGCCCTGGCCAGAATTTCAAATACTATGTTGAATAGGAGCGGTGAGAGAGGGCATCCTTGTCTTGTGCTGGTTTGCAAAGGGAATGTTTCCAGCTTTTGTCCATTCAGTTGATATTGGCTCTGGTTTTGTCATAAATAGTTCTTATTATTTTGAGATATGTTCCATCAGTAACTAGTTTACTGAGAATTTTTAACATGAATAGGTATTGAATTTTATGGAAGGCCTTTTCTGCATCTATTGAGATAATCATGTGCTTTTTTGTCATTGGTTCTGTTTGCGTGATGGATTACATTTATTAATTTTCATATGTTGAACCATCCTTGCATCCCAGGGATGAAGCCGACTTGATCATGGTGGAGGAGCTTTTTAATCTGCTGCTGGATTTGGTTTGCCAGTATTTTATTGAGGATTTTGGCATCAATGTACATCAGGGATATTGGCCTGAAATTTTCATTTTTTGTTGTGTCTCTGCCAGGTATTGGAATCAGGATGATGCTGGCGTCGTAAAATAAGTTATGGAAGAGTGCCTCTTTTTCTATTGTTTGGAATAGTTTCAGAAGGAATGGTACCAGCTCCTCTTTGTACCTCTGGTAGAATTCATCTGTGAATCCATCTGGTCCTGGGCTTTTTTTGGTTGGTAGGCTATTAATTATTGCCTCAATTTCAGAACTTGTTATTGTTCTCATCAGGGATTTGACTTCTTCCTGGTTTAGTCTTGGGAGGGGTATGTGTCCAGGAATTTATCCATTTCTTCTAGATTTTCTAGTGTATTTTCATAGAGGTGTTTATAGTATTCTCTGATGGTAGTTTGTATTTTTGTGGGATCAGTGGTGAGCTCCCCTTTAACGTCTTTTATTGTGACTATTTGATTCTTCTCTATTTTCTTCTTTATTAGTCTGGCTAGCAGTCTACCTATTTTGCTAATCTTTTCAAAAAACCAGCTCCTGGATTCACTGATTTTTTGAAGGGTTTTTCGTGTCTCTATTTACTTCAGTTCTTCTCTGATCTTAGTTACATCTTGTCTTCTGCTACCTTTGGAATTTGTTTCCTCTTGCTTCTCTACTTCTTTTAATTGTGATGTAAGGGTGTAGATTTTAAATCTTTCCCACTTTCTCCTGTGGTCATTTAGTGCTATAAATTTCCCTCTAAACACTGCTTTAGCTGTGTCCCAGAGATTCTGGTGTGTTGTGTCTTTGTTCTCATCGGTTTCAAATAACTTATTTATTTCTACCTTAATTTTGTTATTTACCCAATGGTCATTCAGAAACAAGTTGTTCAGTTTCCATGTAGTTGTGCATTTTTTTGTTATTATTATACTTTCATTTTAGGGTACATATGCACAACATGCAGGTGTGTTACATAGGTATACATGAACCATGTTGGTTTGCTGTACCCATAAACTCATCATCTACATTAGGTATTTCCCCTAATTCTATCCCTCCCCCCTCCCCCTACCCCATGACAGGCCCCAGGGTGTGATGATCCCTGCCCTGTGTCCAAGTGCCCTCATTGTTCAATTCCCACCTATGAGTGAGAACATGTGGTGTTTGGTTTTCTGTCCCTGTGATAGTTTCCTTAGAATGATAGTTTCCAGCTGCATCCATCTCCCTGCAAAGGACATGAACTCATACTTTTTATAGCTGCATTGTATTCTATGGTGTACATGTGCCACATTTTCTTAATCCAGTCTATCATTGATGGAAATTTGGGTTGGTTCCAAGTCTTTGCTATTGTGAATAGTGCCACAGTAAACATATGTGTGCATGTGTCTTTATAATAGCATGATTTATAATCCTTTGGGTATTTACCCAGTAATGGGATTGCTGGGTCAAATGGTATTTCTAGTTATAGATCCTTGAGGAATTGCCACTGTCTTCCACAATTGTCGCACTAGTTTACACTACCACCAACAGTGTGAAAGCATTCCTATTTCTCCACATCCTCTCCAGCTTCTGTTGTTTCCTGACGTTTTAACGATTACCATTCTAACTGGTGTGAGATGGTATCTCATTGTGGTTTTGATTTGCATTTCTCTGATGACCAGTGATGATGAGCATTTTTTCATGTGTCTGTTGGCTGCATAAATATCTTCTTTTGGGAAGTGCCTGTTCATATCCTTTGCCTGCTTTTTGATGGGGTTGTTTGATTTTTTCTTGTAAATTTGTTTAAGTTCTTTTTAGATTCTGGATATTAGCCCTTTGTCACATGGTTAGATTGCAAAAATTTTCTCCCATTCTGGAGGATGCCTGTTCACTCTGATGGTAGTTTCTTTTGCCATGCAGAAGTTCTTTAGTTTAATTAGATCCCTTTTGTCTATTTTGGCTTTTGTTGCCATTGCTTTTGGTGTTTTAGAAATGAAGTCCTTTCCCATGCCTATGTCTTGAATGATATTGCCTAGGTATTCTTCTAGGGTTTTTATGGTTTTAGGTCTAACATTTTGAGTGAGCTTCTTAATCCTGAGTTCCAATTTGATTGCACTGTGGTCAGAGAGACTGTTATGATTTCCTTTCCTTTGCATTTGCTGAGGAGTGTTTTACTTCCAATTATGTAGTTGATTTTACAATAAGTGCTTTGTGGTACTGAGAAGAATGTATGTTCTGTTGCTTTGGGGTGGAGAGTTCTGTAGATGTCTATTAGGTCTGCTTGGACCATTGCTGAGTTCAAGTCCTGACTATCCTTGTTAATTTTCTGTCTTGTTGATCTGTCTAATGTTGACAGTGGGTTGTTAAAGTCTCCCACTATTATAGTGTGGGAGTCTAAGTCTCTTTGTAGGTCTCTAAGAACTTGCTTTATGAATCTGGGTGCTCCTGTATTGGGCGCATATATATTTAGGATAGTTAGTTCTTCTTGTTGCATTAATCCCTTTACCATTATGTAATGCCTTAGTTTGTTTTGTTTGTTTGTTTGTTTGATCTTTGTTAGTTTAAAGTCTGTTTTATGAGAGACTAGGATTGCATGACCCCTGATTTTTTTTTGCTTTGTGTTTGCTGGGTAAATAATCCTCCATCCCTTTATTTTGAGCCTATGTGTGTCTTTGCACATGAGATGGGTCTCCTGAATACAGCACAACGATGGGTCTTGACTCTTTATCCAATTTGCCAATCTTTGCCTTTTAATTGGAGCATTTAGCCCATTACATTTAAGGTTAATATTGTTATGTGTGAATGTAATCCTCTCATTATGATGCTGGCTGGTTATTTTCCCCATTAGTTGATGCAGTTTCTTCATAGCGTCAATGGTCTTCACATTTTGCTTTGTTTTAGCAGTGGCTGGTATTGGTTTTTCCTTTCCATATTTAACGCTTCCTTCAGGAGCTCTTGTAAGGCAGGCCTGGTGGTGACAAAATCTCTCAGCATTTTCTTGTCTGTAAAGTATTTTATTTCTCCTACAACTATGAAGCTTAGATTGGCTGTATATGAAATTCTGGGTTGAAAAATCTTTTCTTCAAGAATGTTGAATATTGGCCCCCACTCTCTTCTGGCTTGTAGGGTTTCTGGAGAGATCTGCTGTTAGTCTGATGGGCTTCCCTTTGTGGGTAACCCGACCTTTCTCTCTGGCTTCCCTTAACATTTTTTTTCTTTATTTCAACCTTGGCGAATCTGACGATTATGTGTCTTGGGGTTGCCCTTCTTAAGGAGTATGTTTGTGCTGTTCTCTGTATTTCCTGAATTTGAATATTGGCCTGTCTTGCTAGGTTGAGGAAGTTCTCCTGGATAACATCCTGAAGTGTGTTTTCCAAATTGGTTCCATTCTCCCCATCACTTACAGGTAAACCAATCAAAATAGGCCGGTCTTTTCACATATTCCCATATTTCTTGGAGGCTTCGTTCATTTATTTTTATTATTTTTTCTCTAATCTTGTATTCATGCTTTATTTCATTAAGTTGATCTTGAATCTCTGATAATCTTTCCCCCCGCTTGATCAATTTGGCTATTGATACTTGTGTATGCTTTACAAAGTTCTTATGCTGTGTTTTTCAGCTCCATCAGGTCATTTATGTTCTTCTCTAAACTGGTTATTCTAGTTAGCAATTCCTCTAACCTTTCAGCAAGGTTCTTAGCTTCCTTTCATTAGGTTAGAACATGCTCCTTTAGCTCGGAGCAATTTGTTATTACTCACTTTCTGAAGCCTACTTCTGTCAATTTGTCAAACTCATTCTCCACCCCATTTTGTTCCCTCGCTGGGGAGGAGTAGTGATCCTTTAGAGAGGAGGCATTCTGGTTTTTGGAATATTCAGCCTTTTTGTGCTGCTTTTACCTCATCTTCATGGATTTATTTATCTTTGGTCTTTGCCGTTGGTGACCTGTGGATGGAGTTTTTGCATGGTCGTCCTTTTGTTGATGTTGATGCTATTGCTTTCTGTTTGTTAGTTTTCCTCGTAACAGTCAGGCCCCTCTTCTGCATTTCTGGTGGAGTTTGCTGGGGGTCCACTCCAGATCCTGTTTGCCTGGGTAACACCAGCAGAGTCTGCAGAACAGCAAAAATTGCTGCCTGCTCCTTCCTCTGGAAGTTTTGTCCCACAGGGGTACCCACCAGATGGCAGCCAGAGCTCTCCTGTATGAGGTGTGTGTTGACCCCTGATGGTAGTTGTCTCCCCATCAGGAGGCATTGGGGTCAGGGATCCACTTGAGGAGGCAGTCTGTCCCTTAGCAGAGCTTTAGCGCTGTGCTGAAAGGTCCGCTGCTCTCTTCAGAGTCTGCAGGCAAGAATGTTAAGTCTGCTGAAGGTGTCCTCATAGCCGCCCTTTCCCCCAGGTGATCTGTCCCAGGAAGATAGGAGTTTTATCTATAAGCCCCTGACTAGGGCTGCTGCCTTTCTTTCAGAGATACCCTGCCCAGAGAGGAGGAATCTAGAGAGGCAGTCTGCCTAAAGGGGCTTTGCAGCACTGTGGTGTACTCCACCCAGTCTGAACTTCCTGGTGGCTTTGTTAAAACTGTGAGGGGAAAACCACCTACTCAAGCCTCAGTAATGGTGGACACCCCTCCTCCCACCAAGCTCGAGTGTCCCAGGTTGAATTCAGACTGCTGTGCAGGCAGTGAGAATTTCAAGCCAGGGGGTCTTAGCTTGCTGGGGTCCATGGGAGTGGGATCCACTGAGCAAGACCACTTGGCTCCCTGGTTTCAGCCCTCTTTCCAGGGGAGTGAATGGTTCTGTCCCGCTAGCGCTCCAGGTGACACTGGGGTATGAAAAAAACCAAACGAACAAACAGAAAAAACTCCTGCAGCTAGCTCAGTGTCTGCCTAAATGGCCTCTCAGTTTTGTGCTTAAAATCCAGGCCCCTCATGGTTTCCCTTGGCTAGGGGAGGGAGTTCCCTGACCCTTTACTCTTCCCAGGTGAGGTGATGCCCACCCTGCTTCTGTTCACCCTCCTTGGACTGCACCCACTGTCTAACCAGTCCCAATGAAGTGAGCAGGGTACCTCAGCTGGAAATGCAGAAATCACCCAAATTCTGCATTGGTCTCGCTGGGAGGTGCAGACCAGAGCTATTCCTATTCAGCCATCTTGCCTGGGAATCCCAAAACTTGAGTTTTTAAAAATAAGTGCTGGAATTTCAGTTTTTCTCCTTGTCTTGTAACTTAGCAACCAACACAACTAACTTGACTCAGAGCTTCAGCTACAACAGAAACATATTTTAGTAAAATTAAATCATTTGATGTATTGGTTATTTCTCCACCCTGGTCCTATGTTTTTATGTTTTAATTTAAAATGTATGGGAATGTTTATTAGTATTATCTATACACCAATTAGCATGTAATCTCCAAAAAATTTAAGAGGCCTTATAATGCAAATAATAATTATTTTATATTGTATATAATTATCTAGACTAGATCTTGCAATATGGTGCACATGATGAGGTAATTTTTATTAGAAATTAAGCTCCAAGTTTCCAAAGAGAAAGAGTATGAAAGAAAGTTGGTTATGAACAGATTTAGAGCTAGTCACAGTCCACTGTAAAAGGCTAATTATATTCTCTTTGCAAGAAGGAAGGGAAACTTAGATGAATACAATTTTGTCACAAAAAAAGGGAAAGTCAGTTTAGCCACTTTCTAGTGGAACCTGTTAAAAATTTCCTAAACTTCGGACATTTCCATCAGCACCATGCAAATAATTGTAACTATTATCTATAATATATTTTTAGAGTATATTATATTATTAACTGCAATATGTTTGCCACTGAAATATGGAAACAAAGTTTTACTATGTTAATCATAATAATGAGTCAAATCTAGACCATCAGGATAGAGCATCTCTACATGGATACAGAGCTCAGAGAGGGGCACCTGCCAGTCTAGAAAGACCCATTTACTTGTATCACAGAGGAAAGTAGAAAAATATTTTAAAAATTAGCGCTATTTTCTAAGCCCCATGAAAATTAGGACAATCAGGAAAAAGAAACCATAGATCAACAAAAAGGTACATTTATCTTCATTTTATACTAAATGAACATAAAAAAAGATAAAAAGTATTAGTAAAGCAGAGGCTTACCTCTTGAGCTCCCTAAAGAGATAAATCAGAGGAATAATCTCAGAGGTGTCCTTTAAATTCTCAGTTAATAAAATTGGTTTTACTAAATTTAGTAGCAAGAGATGTAAATATTGATTAGAATTTAAATTACCTTTAAATAACTAATTTAACATGAAATGACCAAAGACACCTGGATCAGGAATACAAAAGGCTCTGAGAACATGTACTGTTAATATCAGAAACCCCAATGTTCCATGGGGCAAAGATTTCCAAGTTAATATCTCTGTAGAAACTCCCAATTGTCACATCATAAATCAACACATTTTTAAAAAAGGAATGGTTGAATTTAATTCTTGCATGGGCAAGCAAAAACACAAAAGTGCAGCCTCTCACCAAGCAAAGAAAGAGACAGGGTTATTTTTTGAATTTTTGAGAGAGGCGAAGTTTAGGTAAAGTATAAAGGAAGCAGTGATTTCTGTTATTCATGAGACAGGGTCTTGCTGCGTCACCCAGGATGTAGTGCAGTGGTGCAATCTTGGGTCACTGCAGCCTTGACCGCCCATGCTCAGGTGATCCTCCTGCCCCAGCCCCCCGCGTAGCTGGGTCTACACGTACGCACCAACATTCCAGGCTAAGTTTTGTATTTTTTGTAGAGACAGGGTTTCGCCATGTTGACCAGGCTGATCTTTAACTCCTGAGCTCAAGCGATCTTCCCATCTTGGCCCCCCAAAGTGTTGGGATTACAGGCATGAGCCACAGAACGTGGCTGAAGCAGTGTTTTGGATTAACTCAAAGCACAGTGGAGATGTGTGTAAAGGGGTTAATCTTAGGTCTGGGCTGTGAAGTGGACTTAGGATCCTAATTCTTAGAAACAATGGAATTCAGATAAATATGGAATGATAAGTTAAAAAATTTAGATAAGGATATGTGAATTCTTTCACCTTGTTAGAGTCAATGTTTCTTGTCTGTAGTCAGATAAGGTTTAAATTGAATTAAACTTAAATGATTAAATAGATAAGGTTTTAAAAACTGTGTCCCTGATATTAATTAGTTAAAACAATTTTTGCTGTTCCAAATCTGCTTTGAAACTATGTTCAGCAACATAGAGTTGCAGAGTCTAGGACCATTTGAGACACATGGTAGGTGTTTTATATTCAATAGACATTCATTTTCATAAAAATGATATAGAATATCCAGAAAATAAAGGAAAGCAGAAAATGCCAGAGAGAGTATAAAGAACATAGGTTTCAAAGTAAGATAATACTAGATTAAAATATTTTCCACTGCTTTTATTTTACTCATTTGCAAAAGAAGGAATGATATATATTGTGCATGGATGTTAGGATGTTTTTGAATATCAGACGAAATTACATATGCAAAATAGCTGACAAACTGGTATATACTGTGCGTAGTAAATAAATCTAGCAGTGAACAACAACAGTTGCAAAAACAGCAAGATACAAAAAATTTACTCATAATTCCAATAATTATATATGACATTTTAATGTTTCTATATTTTACTTTTTTGTATCAATTTTTTACATTGCAGAGAAAATATTGTTCATGTAAATTAAGTGAGCTGTTATTATATCTGCAGAATTAAAATATTCTGACAGTATTCTTATCTTAAAATTATAAGTACAGCCTCAAGATATTTTCTAATGTTCAAGATATGTTTCTTAAAATCTTGTTGGAAATATAAGGGATTTATAATTTTCATTCAAAAAGACTTTAAATTTTATCAAACATTTTCTTCTGACAGCAGACCTTAAGAATGTCTGTTTGTGTGCAATGTGTATAGTTTTAAGTGTTACCAGCTGGAAATGTTTTCCTAATAAGCAAACAGATTACTCATTATTTCACTTATTTTGAAAACATTTCAAATGTTATTACTCATATGTATTTTCTTTTATGTGACTAGTCTGTTGATGTCTTTTGCCACAATTTTTTTTCCTAATTTATTTGTTTGTGCCTGTTATATTAAGACTACAAAGTTTTCATTATAATTTTTATAAAATAATTCATTTCAGTTTACCAAATGTATTTTAATTTCATTTTTAATATTTACAAATGTAATTATATGCAGTTACATCTACTCATAATTATTATTATACTTTGTTCTTTGTCACATGGTTTTTAAATTTTCAAAGCTTATACCCATCAAATAAATTTTATTATTTTTAAAATTTAACTTTCTAATGCACCTTGCATGTATTCTAGTATGTAACATGAAGAGACCTCATTTGTTTCCCTTTTAATTAAAAAAAATTATGTCAATGTTTTTATATCTTATGTCAAATACCATCTCTTTTATTACAGTTTTCTCCAATAGTTTTAAGTTTAATTATTTACAGTTAAATGTTTAATCATACACAGTTGGGTTTATGTTGGTTAGTACCATGAGAGTGGGAATCAATTTTTGTTATCTTTATTATTTTTACATGCTGACTTTGCCATCTATTCTTTATTTTTTCAGTAAAATATTCAAGACAATATGGATTGTAATGCATTTCTATACACTTTATAGTGCAGTGTTCATAAATTGTAGCAGTAATAATTAAAATAGCTAAACAGTGTAGGATAATAATGGTTTCACCAACTTCAAGTGTGAAGCCATCTAATTAGACTCCCTATAAAATGCACTACCATTATCAGTAAGGATCAAAATGTAGGAGACATTTTTGACTCCTCTTTTTTGCTCATTATCTACATTCACACAGTTTTCAAATTGTTAAGTTTTTCATAGGCAATATTTTTCAAACTGATCAATAAATTCTATCCATTGTCTTTGTCACCTCTAATTTAGATTCCCGTATATCTCACCAGAATAGGGATAATATAGCTTCATGCTTTTTTTTCAATACCCTTTCTCTCATTACTCCAATTCTTCTTTCTCAGTGCTGCTATTCTTTGCTTTTCACATAGATTTATGTCATATTTTTCTTTATTGAAATATATTTACTGTTACTGTGTTGCTCACTGAATTCATTTCCGGTTACAAAATGGACAGTGCCCACCTCAATCCCCATTCCTATATGCACACACACTATTAAGCCATTTTAACTTCCGCTGTGCCCTCAATAAAACTGTTTTTTTCTGTTTGTTCTTCATTGCTTTCAAACTTTTATGCCTTCCCATTTTTCTCTTCTACGAAAATGCCTTCAAAACACTTCTTATCTCGCTTAAACCAATAAATCACCTCCTTAAAGTATATCCCAGCCCAGTTATATTAATCTCTTCTAGGACAATTGAGAGCCTATTGTTTTTATTTCATTATAACACTATTACTTCGACTTTTTAAAATGGGTATCTGGTGTTCGTTTGATTGATTTTTCTTCTTTTTCAATTATAGGTGATTTGGGTATAACACCAAACATTGGTCCTTTTATGTAGTAATACCGTTTCATATTTTTTTATTACATGACCAGTCAAAAAAAAATCTAAAATATGCATTCTAAAATTATTATTCATGTTTCAATCTATTAAACGTATGTATTTTAAAAAATATAATTTTGAAAGTTCCACCATAATCTTTAGTGTTATTATTTTAACAAAAAGCATCAAACAAATAAAAATAGTATTTGCAATGAGCATATATTTTTAGGCTATCTACCAATAATGCAGCAAAAATGTTACACAAATAAGGAGAAGTATACAGTAGGTGGAAATATTCTAATATATATCTAATGAAGTGTATGGCCTATTTGAGGATTTTGAGTCAGAGTGTAACACTTTTTTGTGCATTTCCGGGATAAATAGCTAGATATTTAATTATTTTAGTTCTGATTAGTAGTAGTGAAGCTACTTCAATGATTTAAACCAGTGTTTCTATACAAAAAATAAAGGAAATAATAAAACAGATAAGAAAGATGATTTTTTAAAATACATCAAAGTAAAGCAACTCAAAAACCAAATAGCTCTCATAGTAAAATACTTTTTAAATGGCAATCAATTAGAAAGCATTCACTTTGAAGTATGTAAACATTTACAAATTGCAATTGACCTTTAAGCAACAAAACTCATTTTTAATAATCTAGAGATTTTGTCAAAGTATATTTTTGCAATTGTCTACTATGAGTATGCTTATCCTAATATTCAAAAGAAGTTTAGATAAATAAGCAAATAACATTTAATATTATTTCAATTAACTAAAAAATTATGTTCACATATGTATAAGGTTATTCTTCAAGGACTATATTTTTTATGGTTGTTTGTACTTCTTGTTTTATCAGGAATGTTATATGTATCCTGTTATATCTCGTCAACTCCTAGATTCTCAACTTTCAAAAATCAACCAGTGTGTTTTAGCATACAATACATCAAGAAGAATTGATTTAACAAATAATTATTAATCACAAAATTTCATTTAAAATGTGGTAATATCCAATATATTATTCAAGTTAAATCTCATATTTTTCAATTTCCAACCTCTCTATGGAAATAGTAGGAAAAAGTTCTGAACCCACAACACTTGACACAAAGGAGGTTTTGTATCAATACGATCATTTCACAATACAACACACACACACAAAAGAGAACCTTGGGTACGAAACCTAGAGAGGAAGGCATTGAAACCCAGATATGTCCCTCAAGTGTTTACATTCAAATTGAGAGCAGACTCATGGGGAGACTCTCTAGTACAGAGTTATGAGGGAGAAGTTTTGAGAACTAGGAAAGAAATCAGAGTGAATAACTGAAGTTGAACTGAATAAGTTAATCTCTTTAATCTTCCCTTATTCTTTTAACCTCAAGCTCACACCATATTACTAAGGAAAATTTCTAAAAATAATTCATCAAGCTACCTCAGAAGGGGCACAACTCACACTGGTTGTGGGTATCCTATGGTTCAAGGCTCCTTGTGTAGGCTTTTATTTATCCAGAACATAAGTGAAGTCTGCTCATTGGTATTGCCTACTTTGTGGCACAGACACCTCTGCAATTCATCAGAAAAGCATTGCCTTTTGAAATAAATAGTGCTGTATCAATTGGACATCTATAAGCAAAACAAAAACAAAAACAAACCCAGAAACCATGACCACCATATTAAACCACACATGTAAATAAATACTTTGAGATTAATGACAGACCAATGTGAATGTTAAAATAATAATGCTAATAGAAAGAAAATAAAGGGGATTCTCTTCAAAAATTTGTGTCTTCAACAGAACACAAAAATCACTAATCATAGAGTAAAAGATCAACATATTGGGCTGTTTTATAATTACAGAGTTTTGTTAATCAAAATAAACCATTAAGAGTATGAAACTATAAGCAATGCAGTGGGAAAAGATATGTGTAATATGAATATCCAACCATACTCACACTCAGAATATATATTATATATATTTTTCTGGTATCTACCCATATGCAAAAATCATATTGTCTTAATTGTATCCTTATATTAAGTTTTGTACCTTATATCATGATTTCTCAAATTTGTTATTCTTTAAGACTATTAGACTATTATAGTAACTTTGCATTTTCCACATAAATTTCAGAATTAATTTGTTTATCTCCAAAACAACAGAAAACATTCTGAGCTTCTTCTTAAACTTATATTGACTCCAAATAATAGTCTGAGATGGGTTGGCATCTTGGTACTGAGATTGGTTTTAGAATAAAAGAACCTTAGGATGAGTGTTTTGAAATGATCCTGGAGCTTCTATAATTGGTTATCTAATCTCAATAGATATAAAGACACTAGTAACTATTCCCAGTAAGATTTCATAATAGAGATATGCAGTATATCACAAATGGATACTGTAATCAAATTTTATAAGGAAATTCAACCTTTACACTATCTTTGGACTTGAGCTGCAACATCAACTCTTCCTGGGTCTCCAGTCTGCCAGTCTGCTCTGCAGATTGTCAAATTGTCAGACTTCACATTCATATGAGCCAATTCCTTAAAATAAATGTCTCTCTCTCTCTCCCTCTCTGTGTGCGTACATATATATACATATGTACATATATATACACACATATGTATGCACAGCTATATGTAAAACATATATAATTGTGTATATGCATATATATATATATATATATGAGTACTTGTGTGTCTGTGTGTATTCTGTGTCAATGCAGAAATCTGAATAATAACAGATTTGGATCATCCAATCTATAAATATATAAATACAATATCCTTCCATGCTATAGGGCTTCCTTAGTTTTTCTCCAATATTTTTCAATTTCAATCTAAAGATTTAACACCTTTGTAGATTTTTATAAAGTTTTACTTTCTAATTATTAGCTGTTAATAGAAAGTTAAATGTTTTGAATATTGCTCAGGGACTTTGCTAAATTCCTTATTCACTTATTACCTTTTATTTTTTACTTTTAAAAGTTTGTAGATTCTTTTGAATTATTCTATTACAAAATCATGTCATTTGTAATTACTGTAAATATCTATCCTTCTAAAATCAGCTTTTATACATTTTTTTCTTCTTATCTTAATGAACGTTAAGGATAATTTGAATAGAAATAATTATAATTAACATTTTGAGTTGTTCATGAGCTCAAAGGGACAGTGTTCAATATTTCATAATTAAGTATGATGTTAGCTATGAGTTACTATTATATGTATACTCTTTATTAAATTAATAATATTTCATTTAATCTGTAATTTTTTATAATTTATTTTATAAATATTTTATGGATATTTACTTCTGTCAACTGTTTTTCTGCCTCTATTGAAATGAGTACTTTTTTATTCATTTATTCTATTAAAGAGGTAAAGTGTATTGATTAATTTTTATCATTTTTCTATATTCTTGCACAGAATTTTGCACAGAATTTTTATGGCTAGCTCATGAGAGATAGTGCCCTATAATTTTGCTTTTTTATAATATTCTTTCTAAAGTTTGATTTATAAAGCCTAAATTCTGCATGAGCTCATAAAATGATATCGGTTTGTATTTCCCTTTTATTTGTTTTCCAGCAAAGGTTGTATAAGATTGTCATCATTATTTCAAACAAATATTAGGAAGAATTGACCAGTAAAGACATCTGGGCCTGGAAATTCTTTGCAGGTTTTTGGCTATAGTTCAAACTTATATAAGAGATATGTAACAATATAGCTTTTCTATCTCTTTATGTATTGTTTTGCCAAGTTGGATTTGTTAAGGACTTGGTTGTCTTCAGCTAAATTGTGAAATTTATGAGTTGTAATGAAGCTGCCCATCGTATCTTCTCACCAGCTTTTTAACATGTAAGATCCACGTTGGTGGTTTTGTCTCATTCCTGATATTGATAGTTTGTGGTTTTTTTTTTTTAATCTTGAGCAATTTTCTAGGGTTTTATTATTTTATTATTTTTTAATAAACTAACTTTTGTTTTTTAAGTTTCTTTCTCATGTTTTATTTATCTTACAAACTTGGATTTAAATATGCTATTTTATTTTAACTTCTTTTTATTTATATCTATTCTCATTTTTAATGCAGGTATCAATGCTCTAAATTTGCCTATGAATACTCTTTAGCTAGATGTACATTTTTATTACTATCGAATTCTAATTATTTTGTAATTTTCATTGCAAATCCTTTTTTACCCTTTCATTGTGCAGGTTTCTAGGAACAAAAAATAGCAAATGATTACTGGACAATGTTTGTAGTTTGTATATATGCAAACACTCACATACACATAAACACACACATATACACATACATACTCACAAATTTAAATACAGTGCTTGATGCCTACGACTTTCCAATTTTAGAACAGTCAGGGTCATATCCTGGTTTAGTTTTATAGAATAAACAAATACATATATGTTTACATATATCCTTGTATTATAGAAAAAAAATATATATATATTGAGTAGATAGTACAATAGATATCAAAAACATTCTCATATTAACAATCATTAATAACTCTTAGTACATATTTTGCATGGAAAGATATATTTTCCCCCATTTAAAAAATATATTTATTGACTTTTTTATTATTTTTACTTTTATAGACATGGTCTTGCTGTCACCCAGGCTAAAGTGCAGTGGTATAATTACAGCTCACTGTAACCTTGAACTCCTGGGCTCAAGCAATCTTCCAGCCTCAGCCTCTCTAGCAGCTAAGACTACTAGCCAGAGACACCTTATTTGACTAGTTCATTTTTATTCTTTGTGGAGACAGGGTCTCTCTATGTGGCCTAGGCTCGTTTCAAACTCCTGGCCACAAGCAATCTTGCTGCCTGAGGCTCCCAAAGTGCTGGGATTACAGGCGTGAGCTGCTACACCCAGCTTTTCTCTTTTTTTTTTTTTTTTTTTTTTTGAGACAGAGCCCGCCCTGTTGCTCAGGCTGGAGTGCAATGGTGCAATCTTGGCTCCCTGCAACCTCCGCCTCCCAGGTTCAAACAATTCTCCTGCCTCAGTCTCCAGAGTAGTTGGGATTACAGGCGCTCACCACCATGACCGGCTAATTTTTTGTGTCTTTAGTAGAGACAGGGTTTCACCATGTTGGCCAGGCTTGTCTCGAACTCCTTACCTCATGATCAGCCCGCCTCAGTGTCCCAAAGTGCTGGGATTACAGGAGTGAGCCAACTTACCTGGCCTCACCTGTTTTAAAATAATATAGAAACAAACATTAGAAATGGTTTTAGTGTCTTAAATTAATAAAAACCAGTATAATAAAGAAATCTAAAATGCTCTGTTTCATCATTGATTGGAATTATGAATCACTTTTGACACATTAAGAAACCTAAGTCGATTTCTCCTCTGCCCTACATTTATTTTCTGCATATTTAGAGACCAGAACTGATTGACAGGTGTGCAAGTACACTGACAAACACTGTGATCTTTGTGGAATAAGTTTTTGAAACCCAGGAGGTATGACTATGCAAATACTAGCAGATGGCTATGTGACTGTAAGTGCAATTGTTCTACTAAAGCTTGACATAATAATACATTTAATTAATTTTAAATATATTAATTTTTTTCTAGAAAATTTATATTAAGGAATGTTTTATCCATTGCAGATTTCTTCTTACCTGTTAGTCAAGCTGATGGGCATTCTGAAATCTTGGCAGAACATTTTATAGTTGAAAGATTTCAATCTCTGAAAGGATTACAAGGCAGATGGCAATGTAAAGGAACTACTCAACTATCTGAGTGCTATGTTTATGTAGCCATCTGCTGGGTATTCATTCCCCTGGGTTTCAAAATTTACTTGGAGGCTAGAAAGTGTGTCTACAGATTCAAATTGTTCGAGGGTCTAAGCACTATATATGTATACATATGTAAAAAATGTATATATGAAAATTTTTTTCTGCTATGTAGCTGGTTTGCAATTTCAAATGGTTTCATAAGATATTTTACTAAATATTTTAAATAGATCTATCTCCAGTGTCTCATTTTTCAAATGAAAAGCATAAACTAGAAGGCACTGATATCAAACCTTAGTCCAGTTAGCTTTTCTGTGATGTATTTAAGACTATATTGGAATAGTAATGTTTTACAGATGAATAAATTATTAAATGCATATTTTATAGATGAATAAATTTAAACAGGAAAATAAAATAATTTACACTGAAAAATTAAGCCAAGAGGTATTAGAAACATAATTCAAAAATTATGTTTTTTGAGTTGCTATATTTTTGTTTTTTGTTTCCTTTTCTTACTAATATCCAAATTATCAACTATGCTTTTGACTATGACATTATTTATATTGAAAACTATTTATTCAAATGCACATATTCTGGGAAATAAAAAAATCTTTAATTGTTCATTTTCCTTTGTACTAAAGTCATACTGAAAACTATCTGTGACTCTTGTTAAAATTATACAATTTTTATTTAGAATAATTAAGTAACAGTTATCTGTTATCACTATATTGAGGTTTTTTTAATCATACTTTAATTTCTAGGGTACATGTGCACAATGTGCAGGTTTGTTACATATGTATACATGTGCCATGTTGGCTTGCTGCACCCATAAACTCGTCATTTATATTAGGTATTTCTTCTAATGCTATCCCTCCCCCAGCCCCTCACCCCCTGACAGGCCCCGGTGTGTGATGTTCCCCGCTCTGTGTCCATGTGTTCTCATTGTTCAATCCCAATCTATGAGTGAGAACATGTGCTGTTTGGTTTTCTGTTCCTGTGTTAGTTTGCTGAGAATGATGGTTTCCTGCTTCATCCATGCCCCTGCGAAGGACATGAACTCATTCTTTTTTATGGCTGCATAGTACTCCATGGTGTATATGTGCCACATTTTCTTTATCCAGTCTATCATTGATGGACATTTGGGTTGTTTCCAAGTCTTTGCTATTGTGAATAGTGCCACAATAAACATACATGTGCATGTGTCTTTATAGTAGAATGATTTATAATCCTTTGAGTATATACCCAGTAATGGGATTGCTGGGTCTAATGGTATTTCTAGTTCTAGATCCTTGAGGAATCACCACACTGTCTTCCACAATGGTTGAACTAATTTACACTCCCACCTACAGCGCAAAAGGGTTCCTATTTCTCCATAACCCCCCCATCTGTTGTTTCCTGACTTTTTAATGATGGCCATTCTAACTGGTGTGAGATGGTATCTCATTGTGGTTTTGATAAGGATACAAAATCAGTGTGCAAAAATCACGAGTATTTCTAAACAGTAATAACAGACAAATAGAGAACCAAATCATGAGTGAATTCCCATTCACAATTGCTTCAAAGAGAATAAAATACCTAGGAATCAAACTTACAAGGGATATAAAGGATCTCTTCAAGGAGAACTACAAACCACTCCTCAATGAAATAAAAGAGGACACAAACAAATGGAAGAACATTCCATGCTCATGGATAGGAAGAATCAATATCGTGAAAATGGCCATACTGCCCAAGGTAATTTGCAGATTCAGTGCCATCCCCATCAAGCTACCAATGACTTTCTTCACAGAATTGGAAAAAACTACTTTAAAGTTCATATGGAAATGAAAAAGAGCCTGCATAGCCAAGACAATCCTGTATTGAGATTTTTAATATATAATTTTTCTCCCTTTACCATTGAGAATCTGTTGCTATTAACGTAAGATTGGTAAGTTATTTTAAATCCTACAAATTACTTTAAAAGTGTTATAACTCAAATTATTATCTAACTAAATCAAAACAGGGTTTTGTAGGATATGCTGTATTTTAAGACAGATATTTTCAACAACAATAAATATCTAGAACCACAAACTCTCACTGAAGAAAATACAACATGTGCTCTGTGCTATTCATGATGGTAACTCCTCCAACTCTCCAATATCGTGGTCAATTGAGATGCCCAGAGAATCACCCAGGCCTTACTTATTTCCATGGTACATTTGAGATGAGTTGTATGTAGCATTTTCCTGAATAAAATGAACACCTAAAATTAATAACTGATATAAAAGAACTGGTTTATGAATTGCAAACTTAGCCTGCTCCTCTGTAGGCTACATTGAGTAATACCGTAGTAGAAAAATTTTACTTACTTTGTATTAACAATTCTTGATGTATGCAACATCTAAGCCTATTTTTATGATGGGAAATAATCTCACTGAAGCTCCTGGAATGCTTTCACGATATTTTTTTCCAGGGTAAGGATATCTCTGAGGATCCAAATCCCCTAGCTTAGCCATTTGTGCCAAATAATTAATCTCTTCTGATCTTTGGTAAAGAATTAGTTCCATTTAGTAGCTTGGGGAATCCAAAAATAATTAATTCAAATAATATTATTTGTCTTAATATTAAGCTGTCTGATCTCATAACATAATACCGCTGGGGGAAATAGAATTGTTTATTTGCCATGGTGATTGGGTGCAGAGGACAGTAAATATATTAACATGCAACAAACATAAATGGTTTTCTTTATTCCTGCTGTACTTGAAATGCAGGAAATGAATGTGCTTTAGAATAAATCGTCTTATTGTTCATTAAGCTGTGAAGTAAGAAAGACATGTAGTTATTATTCTAAATTAGATGCCTGGTGTGTCAATGTAGAAGACTCCACTGGTTTTTAGCATTCTTTGATTAACACATTTAATCAGGGTTTCAGAAATGTTGAGAAATATTTTCTAGGAAATTTGTTTTTCTCATTATATAGAAGCCTCAGTGTGTTTCAAATGTCTTTGTAAGACATTTTATGTAATTTATCCTAAGTCAACTCAAGCGACTTACTTGTTCAATTATTATGCTGGAACTGTGGAACTAGAAATTAGCAATATTTAACCTAAGCTAAATTTCATGCAATTGCATTTAAATGTTTAAGAGTGTGTTTTGAAAATGACTATTTTAGAGATTGATATTTCTATTCGTTTATAATAAGTAATAAAGTAATTTGTATGGGTGCACTAAGCCAGAAAAGATAAGGTCCATATGTTGCCCTAATTCCTTTGTTTACTTTTTAATTTATTTGACACCTAGGGTTGATTTTTTTAGCAACTCCAAATTTATTATCATTTACTCAGGTACTAGCTATACTATTAATATTTTATATGATAATATTGTCAATAGTGTGTTGATATTTTAATGTTGAATATAATATCATTAATATTAACATGCTTTCTTTCTTGACTCCGATTTCTACAGATGCACAGTCAACTAGTTTTCCAACCTTCAGTGTAAGTCTAGAAATATAGTATATCTTTAATAAAGTATTTATGGAATTGAATTGTTTGAGGTAGGTAATAAAGGAGATCTTTCTCTCAAGAATTTCAAAATTCCACAAATGCTTAAGTAATTAAATCAAAGAGAATAAACAAACACAACAAAACGGGTTTGGTTTCACAGCACGGCCATTATTGTGTCTAATCTTTGGCCAGGGGACATTCAAGACTCCAGGTACTCTAAGCAACACACATTGTGCCAGCAGTACCCATGAGCTGGAAAGTCCCTCTGTCCTAATTCATTCTACTTATGCCCCTCAACTGTTGAAATGCTCAGGGACCCTACAGAGATCTCTTCAAGGTTTTTTTAAAATTATTATTTTGTAATTTTTAAGCTTACCTGAATATATAGTGATTCCTGAGTATCAAAGTAACTGTTATAATTGAAAGATGACACTCTGGATATGTAACTTATTTGTGAAGACAAATAAGGCAAAGGGAGTAGGTTATTTAGTGCCATAAGCACCAGATACTACCTCATTAATTTCTAATACTCCATTTGAGGAAGCAAACAGGACTCAGCATAGAAGGAAATTACCAATCCATTAAAATGTTTAACTCAATATTAAAATAGAAAGAAATGACTGTATATTATGCACACATTCCTAGAACTTAGCGCCTGATGATTTGCTATTAATTTGGAATTATAATTCTTGTATAAGCATTTTTATACTTATTTTTTAACCGAAAATATACATTGAGGAAGAAAATACACGCCTATGACTTTTAAACAATCTAATTAAATTTGTTCTGTATTAATGAATTTCATGTGTTTGCTTTTTATGTTATTCATCTGAAATGTATACAGTAGTATATGCCTTTTCAAAGATGATTTAAAAACCAGAACTGTTTATAATTCTATTCTGTGAATTTCACTATTATCAAATGCCCATTTATAGAAATTTATTTTCAGAGATAATTGAACCTAACTCTGATATTTGACATTTTCATTTCTGAGATGATATAACCTTTATCCTTTACACTAAGGTAGGTTGAACGTGATATATGTGACAGCCTTATTTCTTATCTTAGATAAAATAGAAAAGTACAAGTTCAATTTCAAGGTGACTGTATTAAAGAATATTGCACTCTGATGGTGAGCAGAGAAATTAGTTATTCAATACAATATAAAAAGGCCTATCTGGCCTTGTTTTTTGAATTTTGGTGTACATGTTAACAAGTGAAAGTTTTACTAAAAGCAGATTGTATAAAATAAATTTTAGCTACAAATAAACTGAAATTATTATTTTTAAAAGTACTTACTAACAGAGGTAATTCCAGGTTTGGGGATATCCCTTTAAAAATTAATAAAGAATTTAAGTTACCAAATTAAATATGAGTGTGACTATTTGAAATGAAATGATGTATCATGATAAATTATAAATTTTTAAAAGTTTTATAAATACTACGAACTTCATGAAGTCCATAAAAATAACATATTTGCTTTACTTAATAACTTTACGTATTTTTGACACTTTTTTGCACTTTTAATTAAATGTTATTATATGTATTATTTTCCGAGTAGAGGAAAAAAAGCATAGTTTATATTATCATCCAGAATAATTGATCAAAATGTATTTTTTCTTACTAAATCAGAAAATTGTTTTTAAATAACACTTTATTAGTAAGTGAATACAAATTGCTAAGATTTATGCAAATTTAAAAAATATTCTCTAAGTTTTCATATGTGTAATATTTGTAAAATTTTCCATAGCCTACTTTTTGACTTCCTCTATTTCAAGCCTCATTGCTTTTTCAAAAGCTTCCGTCTTTATTCCTATGTAGTAACATCACCAATTTTATATTTTGCTGAGTGGTGAAGATTAACTTGTCCCAAATTCATCCTCTATGGGTTCCACTTCAAGGAAAGGAAATAGTTTCTTATAGTGCTCCAAGAAAACCATCTAGTCCTTGTCAGACATTACACATTGATGCTGGTACTTCCATCCCACACTTTATATCCAATTACACCAGAACATGGGGAAATACAGTACATTTTACCACTACAGTGTCAGGTTGTCCACAAGGCTCTAACACCTGAGCACAACATGAGAAGCATGGTGCTACCGTCAACCACAACTGTAAGCTGCCAGGACAGAGGTCAGACCATATTGTTCTTATATCCTTAGCCTGCTCTCAACAGGGAGAATGGCCATGATTTCTGGGTCTAATGTCTGATTTGCTGGATTGTTATGGTAAAGCCAAGAGTAGGTCACCTGCTACTGATTCTATGTCCATAGTTTTCTCTAGTGAACACCACTCCAGGTGGCCAGATGTTTGTCTGTGTTGCTTGGCCATCTGTCCTTGTTGGCACAATATTCACTGAGAAACTAATAATAAAGGACACCCTTTGCTATAATACAGTTGATTATTCGACAAATAATGAAAGATATATTGTTCATTTTTCATGTCTTCTTTTTGGATCCTGCCTATTATTTCAACATTGTCTTGGATGGCTTGAAAATAGAACAAATCTTTCAAAATTAGTAGTAAATCACCATTTTGCATACAAAATAAACTTTGTTTTATGAGGAGTACATTATTTTTGTAAAAAAGTATTATAATCTGAAGTAATTGTTAGGTAATATTTTTAAAGTAAATATTGACTCCCAGATGGACTGTTTCAACCAGGGAAGTGATTCCAATATTATTTCTTGGGCACCCATGATAGATACAGTACTTATACACAAATTTCCTGCTTTCTTGAACTTAAATTTCCTGAAGGGATACAGAAATTAAATAAACATACAATATATTTTGATGTAAAGATAAACGAAGCAGGAAATGGAAGAATAGGTTAGACCAGTTAGTGAAGATTTTATGAACTGATGATAGTACTGAAGGTAACTTTCATGTTTTAGGGTGAATGATCAAACAGTAAATATAAAATTAACAGTTCCAGTTGAAATTGCTAGTTTTTCCACTGGCAAAGATAGTGTGGGAAAGAGAGTTTCTGGGGTGCCAGGTGAGTTGGTCTCCCCTGTGTGAGACACCCATGGGAAGCCATGGGCGGCCTCTGAGGAGAACAGTCTCCTTATTGCCTTCATGTCTTTATGCCCCTAGAGCATAACCGCTCAGCGGCGTTCCACAGGTTGCTGGGGGAGATAACACTCCCTTGAAGCAGGGAGTATAATCAAACATTTTGGCTCCTCCTGAAACCCACTCCCACCCGTTTCAGTCCTGATAAGTTGAAGATCTTAGGTAGTTTAGACACACACCTTTGCTCAAGGAAATTCACAGAAACCGCCACTGCTATACATCTTACCGAATGACTCACCAGTTCTCCTTCACTGATTAATCCTTTTCCTCATCCCTTCCTCCCCTTCCCATCTGCCCTAAGAACAAAGAGCTTGTAAACCAATAAGTTGGGTGGAGCCCGAGAGCTCTGGGCCCTGAGCAAGGCTCCGAAGCTCAGGTCCCCTGGACATGCCTTTTAAACGCTTCTTCTGTCTCTTTCTAACTCCTTTGTCTCCTCCGGACTCGGAGTACCCGCTGGGTGGTGTGGGGCTGGTTTCTCCAACAGATAGTGTTTCATCAAATAAACCCTGCTTCCCTAAATTGATTTTAATTGCATATTCAAATCAGCAGCTTTCAAATATAGAAATGTATTTTGGAAAAGCACCTTTAATATTAAGAATAGAAAGTATGATTGAATATATGATTTCTTACTATACACACGGCATGTCCATAAAAATTCCAATGTAATTTTAAAATATCTGTAAAAGAAAAAGTGAAAATATCAAAATGATCTTAGAAGGAATTTTCAAGTCTGTAATAGAAGAGTTCTATTATTTGGTCTTTTTCTGTTTTATTTCAAAGTGGCTTAATGCATTCAAATAGTTCCTGCATACTCTGTCTTTCTCATATCATTAGTCTACAGCTACTGCTGAGAAGTAGCATTACAGTATCAGCTTGCACTGAGAGGCTATTCACACCACTGGAAACTATGAAAATTTGGAAGTAGTGCAGGTGTTTCTAAAATCTCTTTTGATTTGCCATGTTTACCTATTTGATAATGTTTTCCAAAGACAGTGCCCTTAGTTTTAATAATATGTTAAAATTAATATTCAATGATTTGTTAGACCCATGGTATCAACTGAAATACAGTCTACCAAATGCCAATATTAGTTAATGTTGGGGAATGAGTATGGAAAATAAGTTTCTAATGTGCAAGAAAAATACAATCTTGGGGCCCCACAGTTGCTATGCCAAAGGGAAAGTTAAGTCTGAGAACTGAGTCACCAATACTTCTTCCTTTTGTTCCCAGATAGCTGTAATTTCACCTGCTTACTTCATCTTATGTAAAATGTAGTTTTACTGGGCATGAGACAATGCATAACTGACTTTTTCTTCTGCTCCCTCTTTTAACATGTTTACTTTATCTGATGTAATATGTAACTTTACTCAGCAGGAGACAATGCATAATTGACCTTTTCTTCTACTCTGCTATTTCGCATGTAAAAAAAAATGTAGATTTAATGAGGTTAATCAGGGTCTCACAAGAATGTAACCATTTGTTTCACTGCCTGCCCTCCCTCTCTATTTCTTCCCTCCTGCTTGCTCTTTCTCCTTTAAATACTGAAGTTCCCACAACCTGCTTTGGAAAAAGCACAGGTCATAGACACCCGTTATATGGTTTGGCTGTGTCCCCACCCAAATCTCATCTTGAATTCCCACATGTTATGGGAGGGAGTTGGTGGAGGTAATTGAATGATAGGGGCTGGTCTTTCTCATGCTGTTCTCATGATAGTGAATAATTCTCATGAGATCTCATGGATTTATAAGGCAGAGTTTTCCTGCACAAACTCTCTTTTTGCCTGCTGCCATCCACTTAAGATGTGACTTGCTCCTCCTTGCCTTCCACCATGATTGTGAGGCTTCCCCAGCCACGAGGAGCTGTAAGTCCATTATACCTATTTCCTTTTTAAATTGCCCAGTCTTAGGTATGTCTTTATTAGCAGCGTGAAAATGGACTAATACACCTTGTGATTTATGTTTTTATCCCCAGGGGTGTTCTCAACATTGGCTAAATAAACCTCTAATTGCTTGAGACCTGCTGCAGACAGTTTCTGTTTTACACTAACAAGTTAAAATTGCAATTTCAGAAATGAGATAGTCTGAGAAAATAGTGATGATGTTAACTTAGTAATTTCCATAAAAAGATTTTTTTTGTAATATATGCATAGTAAAACTCAGCTTTTAATATTATGATTCACTTACCTCAAAAAACAGGTAGTACCTAATGGTTCAGAAATACTTCACTTATATGTACTTGCTTTGGTTTATATTATTAATTTCATGTCTTTATATATCTATTATAGAAGAAAAGAAATAAGCAATAATTATAACTGAAGAAGAGTAATTCTTAGAAGA
Organism: Homo sapiens; assembly: GCF_000001405.40. NCBI lineage: Eukaryota > Metazoa > Chordata > Mammalia > Primates > Hominidae > Homo > Homo sapiens. The sequence continues at coordinate 83,616,558 of NC_000003.12, read as the reverse complement.
AACTATCCACTTACCAAAAAGTTGTTTTCTCTAAAAAAATGAATATCAATCTATTTAAATGCCCCTATGAAGTAATAAAAGAAGACAACAACACAGTGAAGTCTATGGTCTTAAATAAACAGAATTTAAAAACATGGCTACGACATACAGCCAAAGCCACTGATATGATTATTACAACCTCAGATCACAAACATATCTAAAGTCTTACTTCACCTAGAATTATAGTACTTTATTAGGCTGGTGCAAAAGTAATTGTGATTTTTGCCATTAAAAGTAATGACAAAAATTTATATAATGTCCAGTATCAATGAAAAAGTTCTAAGAAGAGAGAAGAGTTTGTAAGCCACTCAAGTTTCATAAATACACTATTATTCAAGTAAGGGGTGTTGCTACATATATAATAATTATCTGGAATTTGTGAATTTTGTAGACAACATTGTAGAATGATTAGTATGTAAAAAGATTAGCAGAATCTCACAACAAGCAATGCCTACTTGTTTAAATGTGGCATTTCAGTGTCTCATAAATCAAAAGATTTCCTGAGATCATGAGGTTTGTCAAGTGAGTAAATTGAATTAGCATTATCAACATGCATGGTTCAGAAATTACACATTTCAGCTTAGATATTAAACTCGAAAGAGTCAGATCAGCATCAGTTTATAGTTTTACAGATTCATAGATTCTCAGATTCAACTACAGGAAGGAAAACCTTGACAGGCTATGCAGTTCAAAATTGATTAGGATAATACTTAGGAATTCTCACAGAAGTTCTTAGGATCTGACATCAAGTGTGCATGAGTACTTACCTCCAGGACAAAGAGATTTTTTAATTGATTTTGAAAATTAGAAAATTAGTCATATATATCTGATCTTGTGGTCTATCCATCCTTCTGTGATGTTTGGTTTTGTTGAAGGAAGTATTGGCTTTTTGACCTAGACAAACTTTCTTATATTTCATCATATGCTTGTCAGAAAAAATTTGTCAGGCTGTGCAACTGTTTATCTTTCTCTCAGGCTGTATTGCAGATGCTCTAATTCCCTGGGAGAATATGTATTCATTTCTTTTTTGCTATCAATCTATGTCTAACAAATGCTGTATTTCTAGAAGATGCTATGCTGGGCATTTTGTGACTTTCACTTCGCATGAAACACTGTAATGCACTGTTCAGGACAGTATTCCTTTGCATACCCTGGCAGAAATATTATTTTCAGCTCTAAGTATGCTAGATTCCTTAATAAAAAAGTTTTTAAAGCAGCATGTTTAAATTAGAGTAAGATAAGCTGTTTAAATGCCTAATATGTAAGAAAAAAAATTTTGGACTTAGAAGAAAATCTTGAATTAAATTTAAATTTTAAGTGTTTATATTTTTAGCAAACCAAAATTGATTTGATTGACTAGTCCTACATTTCACAATGAATACCATAGGGACATGCTTTCTTTTATTACTTGCGAGATTTTATTTTTACTTTCTGACGGCTCTCACGCCCTTGTTTTTCACAGCTACAATTAACTCTCATTTTTATTAACACACTTGCCCTCTTGTCAGCCTTCTATTTTACTTTTCCCATATATATGATTTATCTAACAATAAACTGCTCCAAAGACTGGCATGAACATCTGTATAATTTGTGCCTGAATATATTGGTCAGTTGATTTATTATTATCCTATTGTACTAATGATCAAATAGATTATGTGAGGACCCAAGTTAAAACAGTTTATGTTTAAAACATGAAGCAGCCATCATGAAACAGCCATCCTTTCACAAGATATTTGAAAATATCATGAAACAGCCATCCTTTCACATGATATTTTTATGAAGAGCTTCCCTCTTTATGGTGGCAGTCAATGTATGTGAAGTGGTCTGTGACCTGGCCCTTGACTGATTATACTAGCATTCTTTCTCTTTAAAAATATTCAAAGACATATAATTAATATCGACTTCATTTAAACCCCATGATTGGAAAGGTCTCTGGTCTGGTACAAAACAGAAATGGCTTTAAAAAAAATGGTTCCAGTGCTTGGACGGAAGCTAAAGAATAATTCAAGGACTAACTTCTAAATATAGTTACAAACTCCTCAAACTCAGAAGTTCATATTAGTATCACAATTTGAATACACTTTTCTTCCCCAAAAGAACTCAAGCAGTTTTTACAATGATTATGGAGATGATTCTTATTCAAATTCTCAGCGTCTCTGTAGATATGGCTTTTCTTATTATTCCTGTTTTGCAGGTAGTTGAGTTTGTTGTAGCTTGGATGGTTAAATAAAGTCTTTCTCAAAGGTTCTTAAGAATATTTAATAAATAATTGTATAATGGACAACTCAGAGTTTAGTTTTTCAAGCCTCAGAGTTTTGCCTTTCCTCTACACTCCTTATTTCTTTTTGAGGAATTGAGTAGGTCTAGTTACAAAGACATTAAAAAATAGGATGTTTCTGTTACAATACAAATTTCCTGAGTGTGATGTATTGTTTAACCTTATTCAGTAAAATGCAACATCTTATGGGACTTCTGTGAAACAAGTATCTGTGCCAAGAATAGTTTCTAGGGAAAAAAAAAAGTGAGAACAAAACAAAATGAAAAAGATTTGAAAGCTAGTGTCACAGCCTGGATGTAGAAAATTAAAAGGCAGCTCCTTTCATTGGTAAAGAAAAATAGCAATTTATCTTACTATGCATTGAATAGTCAAGAAGGTTGGCTTCCAAACAGTGGGATTATAAATCTTAGCAAAATCGTCACAGAAAGTGAAAGGGACCACAAACGACTTTAACGTCATTTATATAGAGTTTGTGACTCCTGTGAACTCTACTTAAAGGTGCACAGAGCCTCTCAGACACAAGTGGCTTTTTAGTAACGTTACATATTTGTATTCACCTCTTTGACAAAGATGGGCAATCAGCTAGTATGGTGAAGAGCGATGTTTATCCAGTTCTACATCTGTGTTATTCTATACAAATAATTCCATGAAGAAATAGAATAGTTGGAGGTGGAGTGAAGCAATCCTGGGCTGCAATGACACTATAAGACTAGTCTCTTCCAGCTTCTAATTTCAAGGAGGTAAAAAGAAATAAGTATTACCTGAGGAAGATGTGTAGCAATTTGAATTCATTAATTTTAAACTGAGGCTTTAGTAAAAATAGTTTTACTTTTTCCTACCTAACGGATATGGTTTGGATCTGTGTCCCTACCCAAATCTCATGTTCAATTGTAATTACTTATGTTGGAGGTAAGGCCTGATGGGATGTGGCTGGCACTTGAGGGTGGATCCTTCTTGACTGGCTGAGCACCATCCCCTTGGTGCTGTTCTCATAATAGAGTTCTTATGAGATCTGGTTGTTTAAAAGTATGTGGCACCACTCTGTCTCTGTCTTAGTCCTGATCCTGTCATGTAGATGCCTATTCCTGCTTTACCTTCTGCCATGAGTAAAATACCCCTGAAGCCTCCCCAGAAACAGATGCTGCCACACTTCCTGTACAGCTTGTGGAACCATGAACCAATTAAACCTCTTTGTTTATAAATTATCCAGTCTTAGGTATTTATAGCAGTGCAAGAATGGATTAACACCCTAATGGAGGGATTCCTACTTATATAACTTTTGAGTGAGAGATAAAACACACTTGTATACTTATAAAGTTAAAATATTTATTTTTCACAGTTTTTAAAATAGTGTCTAAAGGTATATAAAAATGATTAAAATTTAAGACAAAAATACAATAATTTTAGTTAACCAAACCAAATTCAAAACATATATTTGGAAATAATACCAGTTTTTACTTTGTTTTGTTCTTTGCTATATTCCCAGAATGTAGAAGAGGCACATATTCAATATATTTTTGTGAATGAAAGAACAAGGATGGAATGCTGAAATCATCACATATTTCTATACAATGAAATACTGCCTGTAATGAGCTGTGTTGTGCATGATCCACATTATGCTTGTTTTGAGAAATACTAAAAAATACTGTATTTTTTCAGAAAGAAATAACAGATGTGTAGGAAATGCAATACCTGAGAAAGCTAAACTGAAATTTCCATTATATGAATTCTAAAAGCCTTGAAAATTGGTTTATTTAAATGAACCAACTACAACAAACTTAAGCACTTGCAAAATAGGTATAATCAACAATAGTCATTAAATTTTTATTAAGTAAGTAATATTATATTAAATTTAGTTTGTTTTGAAACAGACAGAGGAGAAGTCTTATTTCATTTTCAGGTTTGTTAATATCCTCAATATCCACATGATGTATTATGATATTAATGAACATTTTAAGGCATTTTTAAATGTAAAAATTTGTCATTAGATTCAATATGGGGGTCATATTTTGTTAAATTGAAATGGAAACAAAATTATTTTACCACATATGTGTAAAAGCAATCTGCGTAGAATTCTATATTTTATCATCATTTTATGAAAAGATGCTTTTTGCTTGTGACCTTAAAACATTTTTTGAGTATTTTTAATTAATTTTTATAAATTCATTAAAGCAAATGTTCAAATTTATACAAGCACATTTTCTGGCTTTCGGATGTCCTATACTGAGTGAATTAACGGCTCATAATTTTGTTGTTCATTCTCACTGTGCCTCCAGATTTAGACTTGAAACTTGCTTTGGATATTGACCGTTGTTCGTCTCAACACCCGAAAAAGTTTGGGAGGTCACTTGTATCTTCCTGCTTGCTTTCTTGTGCCTCTGCCATCCTGAAGTCATGCCCAGGCTAACCTGCTGAAGGGTAAGAAATGCATGGATCAGAGTCAAATTGTCCCATTTGTCCCAGCTAATGTCAACTGACAGATCCACTGACAGCCAGACGTGTGAGCAATCTCAGGCAAGATTACTTCCTAGCTAACCACCCTAGATAAGTAAATGATTTATTATTATATACCACTTTGGTCTTCCAAGAATTGTTTTTGTTGTTGTTGTTCTTATTATTTGGTTTTATAGTGTCAATAGATAATGAATATCAAAATATTCACACACAGAAAATGATGGTGTTAATTTTATTTGCAAGTGTCTTCCTTCTTTCAGGGACCCTCCAACCTTATACCATTAAATCACGAGAATAGCATTTTTTTCTAAAGAACTTGGCAATAATTAATTCAAGCATGATTCAACTACATTAAATTAACTTGAAAAGATCACAATAGCAGTTAGAGAATTGGCAGCGTCCTTTCCGTGTCCTGATAGTGAACCAAAACTTGAACTCATCAACTATTCTATTGATATCTCAGATGAATTATCTGAAGTATTTTCCCTACGGATTTCTCTTCAGTTTGTTTTCTAAGAGGTTTTAGGAATTCATTAGCAATGATTAGAGAAAAATCTGCCTATTTTCACTTACAATGTCTGACTTTATCCTAGCAATTTATGACCCAATAAACTTGGAATTCACTGAAAAAGGCATAAGTAAAAGCTTGATTTCTCCTTTTTTCCCAAGGTTATACTATATAAAAACGTATTTTGTTACAGTGTACTAGAGCACTGCAATGCCCTCCTAAAATGCATACATATCTATCTGAGTTTCATGGTTAATACCATATTCTAATCTTTAAATTTAAAAATATATGTCAATTATCCTCAAAGGGTTAGGTTCAATGCAGTGGCCCAGAAATGGGATATAAATTTTGAATAATATTTATTGTTATTAAAATATGAACTTATGAATTTGCATACACACACACACACACACACACACACACCCCTGTTCTACGGATTGTGGTATATAGGTTGTATAGGTCTATAAGTAAGGTTGGCTAAATAATGGCTCCCAAATATGTCTACATCACAACCCCTTGAACCAGAGAATGTTATCTTTATAGTATGAAAGGGACTTGGCAAATGGGATTAAGTTAAGGATTTTGAAAGGCAAATAATATGCATTATTCAGGTGGACCTGATATAATCACAAGGTTTCTTATAAGAGGGGTGCTGGAGGAATCAGAGGCAAAGGGCAAGGTGATATGATGACTGAAGTAGAGGCTGGAGTTCCAACCTCTTCAAAGTGGTTGCAACCACTTTGAAGGTGGAAGAAGAAGCCACAGAAAAATACATATGGCCACCAGAAGCAGAAAAGTGGCAAGAAAATAGGTTCTCTCATCAGAACCTCTAGCAGAAACCAGACTTTCTAACACCTGAACTTTAGTTGAATAATACCAGTTTTGTACTCCTGATCTTCAGAATGGTAAGATAATACATTTATGTTGGTTTAGACCCTAAAGTTTGCGGTAATTTAATTTGTTGCAGCAGCAATAGGAACAAACACATGGTGTGGAGAGTTTATAAATGTATCTCATGCTGTTCTAAGGTAGTGTTTAATCTTTTTTTAATTTTTTTTCAGGACTTAGTTGTCTCTGAGTCTAACATTCCAGTACTGAGCTTTCAAATGTTTAGGCATGAAACTCATTTCCTTTTAGTCTTTATATCGTAAACTGATCAATACAACTCAGCATATTCTGACCTGACCTGATCATAGATTCATAAATTTGAGTCAAATCCCAACATAGTTTTTGAAGCTGCAAATATTGTTGTTTAGAATTTTCCCTGAAGTAGGGTCAGAGAGAGAAGCTAGCCTCCCTAGCTCTCTGGTAGTAACCTTAGAATGTAGGTTGTCACAGGTTATCTTAGTTGAGAGATCACTGACCTATTTATTCATGATTTTCATCAAATTGTTTTTTCTATACGCAAATGTTCGATCTATTCCATGTTTGTCATGAATTTATCATTAATTCTTCTAGCTTTCCTACGCACTGTATGCAGCATCATTTTTTAATGACTTTAATCTTTCTCCAAATTGCTCCCTTTGATTTTACTATGCTGTTATCTAGCAAAGAAGCCTGTGTTCTTCAACATAAAATCTTTTATGCAACTTGACAATTTTTCTACTTAGTCTTTTCTTTACTAAACCATAGCTAAAAGTTTTTTAAACTGAATTCATAAGCTTGCAGAGTCCTTTGTACTTCACACACACACACACACACACACACACACACACACACACACAAGTTCCAACTTTATGTTTTCATTGTTGATTACAGTGATGTTTGGACAAAACTATGTATTTGGCAAAATATGCCTGTATTGATTTTACATTTTTTATTAAGACAGTATGTTTTTCTCTTCTAAATCTTAGGTCTCCTTTAACACCTATCATTGGCTTCATTTCACAATGATCCTATTGTTTGAATCAACTTTGTGTAAAGATATGAGTTTATCTCTAATAAACTAGTCTGTTGGCCAAAGACCATAAGGGATCTCCAGGGGAGTCATTAGATTTTAAAGAAAAGCATTGTTATAAACAGCTTTCAAATTGAAATAAAAATAACTTCACAGCTAATCACATGTGTTAAGCAGGGTGTTTTGGATAAATTTCCTCTGTCTCAATGCCTGAAACTTCTTCAGAAGTTCATATAACTGAACCTATTCTCTTTGTGGTAGCTTAAAATACTTTATATGTCCATGGGAATTCTCCAAAAATTAGCTGTATGTATATAGTGAAAAGGATTTTCAGTGGACATAACGATTAATTCGAAGTCACTGTATGAGAATGCCTTTAGGTGAAAACAAAACATTGTCCTTTATCTTGTGTGTAATACTGAGCATGTACTCAGAGTTGGCCTACTTATGAACTTACTTTACATATTGCTGCTTGAATTATCTTTTAGTGCTTTGTTAATTTTCTCATTCTACGAATGCAGAGAAATGTATCAGGGTTTTTCAAAAAATTTCATTAGGAATTTTTTTCAATAATTTTTTCAATAATTCAAAAAAGTTACAATAAATATTTCAAATACAGGTCAAAATTGAAAACTAGTATTTTGCACTTTGCAATTTTCAAGTTCTTTATAACTTCTAAGATACTACAGAACTTTTTGTTAGCAAGAGTGCCAATATCAACACATAGTAAGTTTGATGATACAGTAGGAAAATTCTTCTTGACAAATTCCAGTTCTTTTTTTTTTAATTTTATTATTATTACACTTTAAGTTTTAGGGTACATGTGCACAATGTGCAGGTTAGTTACATATGTATACATGTGCCATGCTGGTGTGCTGCACCCATTAACTCGTCATTTAGCATTACGTATATCTCCTAATGCTATCCCTTCCCCCTCCCCGCACCCCACAACAGTCCCCAGAGTGTGATGTTCCCCTTCCTGTGTCCATGTGTTCTCATTGTTCAATTCCATCTATGAGTGAGAACATGCGGTGTTTGGTTTTTTGTCCTTGTGATAGATTACTGAGAATGATGATTTCCAATTTCATCCATGTCCCTACAAAGGACATGAACTCATCATTTTTTATGGCTGCATAGTTTTCCATGGTGTATATGTGCCACATTTTCTTAATCCAGTCTATCATTGTTGGACATTTGGCTTGGTTCCAAGTCTTTGCTATTGTGAATAGTGCCACAATAAACATATGTGTGCATGTGTCTTTATAGCAGCATGATTTATAGTCCTTTGGGTACATACCCAGTAATGGGATGGCTGGGTCAAATGGTATTTCTAGTTCTAGATCCCTGGGGAATCGCCACACTGACTTCCACAATGGTTGAACTAGTTGACAGTCCCACCAACAGTGTAAAAGTGTTCCTATTTCTCCACATCCTCTCCAGCACTTGTTGTTTCCTGACTTTTTAATGAATGCCATTCTAACTGGTGTGAGATGGTATCTCATTGTGGTTTTGATTTGCATTTCTCAGTGGGCGAAGGACATGAACAGACACTTCTCAAAAGAAGACATTTATGCAGCCAAAAAACACATGAAAAAATGCTCACCATCACTGACAAATTCCAGTTCTTAAAACAAAGACACTGTAACTAATTATTTATCTTTCTGGGGCTTCCCAGTCCCTGATATGACATGTCTTGTCTCACCAAAAAATATTAACCTAAAATCCAAGTATTTATGTTTAACATAAATTATATGCGGGGTTGGCATTTTATGAAGCTCAATATCTTCTCTTTCACGAATTAACACCCAGTAGCTTTTGGTTTTCAATTCCTCTTGGCCATTATTTTATGGAAATAGGTGCAGTCTGTTAAGAGCTTTGTTTACAGTCTCATGGTTTGGTAAGCAAAGGTCTTTACAACAGAGAACAGCTTTTTATAAAGACAAAGAAGAAAGAGAAAATTGTAATTGAAGTAGTATCAAGCTGATTCAAAAAAGGGGAGAAGAAGATTCATGGCTAGAAATAAATTCTAGAGATTACTCTTCTTATCCCTCTTCTGTTCTCTTTTGACCAAAATTCCTAGAGGATATGATCTTGCTGGTTACCAAGCTGTTCTAGCTAAATGTGTGGTTAGGTGAAAATAGAGATGAATAAATGTAAGACCAATGATAAGAGTGAGTTAAAGAAGTGTACTATTATGGATAGAGATTATTGAGAAGGACACTATATTTTTCTGGTTATAGGATAATGGTTTTGAATTTAGCAATATGCTAGTCTTCTGCCATATTAAATGATTCTAAAACAGATACACATTCAAAAACACATCAAAATGTATACTTAGACTTTTGACACAATAATGATTTAATAATATGAATAAATATTGCAAACTTTATGGCTCCATGTCCTTAAATCTTTAGAAGTAAGCAACTATCTCCCTTTCCAGGTATACATGTAATCAAGCAGCTTTACAAAATAAATTACATTTTTACCTATGAAACATTCGTGCTGACAATTATCCTTCACTACTCACGCCAATTTGAACACCTAGTGCACTCAGAATTTGAGTTGTACACATAGAATACACTAAATAGATTACTGCTTCAAAGAATACATTAAAATTATAGATCACACACAATATACACATTAGTGATAAAGGCACCTATGGGGGGGAATTGTATTTACTTGTATTGGAATAAATTACAATTTTTGGCAAATATTATCTAAAGAAATATCCCTAAGGATATCCTTTAAGAATACACTGTTAAAAACAAGTCAATATGAAAAATATATGGCTAGAAAAGCTATTATTTTAAATTACTTCAGTTTTCAAAGCTACATAAGACATGCTGGCCTAACAATTAATATACATATGTTTCTTTTTTCACATAGTTTTAAAAGAACAGAAATTTGCATTTACTGTACATAACTAAAGTTGGGCATTTTAACTATTTTGATATTCTGAATAGAATCCTAGAAACATGACAGAAAAGAAGCAATTTAATGTTTTAATTCAGAGCACAATCTTTGGCATCAACCTATTTAAGTTCAAGTCCTGACACTGCCACTTTCTACCAGGGTGTCTTTGTAAAATTGGGTAATAACATAACTTAAGCCAAAATATATTATGAGAAAGAAATTTGACGTAAACTACCTAGAACAGTGATGTACACTAAATGCTCTGAAAGTGTTTGTTATTACTTTTGTTGGTAATTTCTTTGTAGCATTTTTGTGCTTAGTTTTCAGTTTTATATTCGATTTTAAAAAATTTGCAACTTAAACCACCCCAAAATATTACCTGTGATGCTGAGCCGTGCTGTTAACATTAGCTTGGTAACTATTCTCCAAACTCAAAGAGTATCCTTTCAGATTGTAATGTGTCACCATCGCATCACTAGGGAGCTGTTTGAAAAGAACAAGAGAAATACCATTGTTCATGAACCTTCGTTCATAAATGTAAATAGCAGCACCCTAGTACAGCTCCGTCTGTTAAAGAACCAGGGCTGAATTATCTCTTACATGAACAGACCGTGAATGCAAGCTTACTAATCCATTCTAATGAGGGCTCTATCTTCATTAGTTAAAACAAAAAGGAATAAGACATAACAGCACCCACAGATCTAAATAGCATTTTTAATTCTTTATAAATCTAATTTTTATCAATGTGTATGTTAGATCTGGATTGACTTGTTGAACATAACAAAAAGATAAATGAGTATGATGTGGATTATAAATCTTGAAAGCCCATTTGTTTTGCTTCTCCTCCCTTTTTAATAGCCTTTATAGGATTTCTACTGTCGCGTCTTTCTTATTGCTGCCGTACATATATTAAACTTTCATGGATCACTTACATGCCGAGGAGGCACTGCTTTCTAATTTAAGTAAGGCTTTAGAATGAAGAGTGGCATATTAGTATAATTGTTCTATGTAATGCAGTGCAGGGTAATTGGTAAAACTCATTCGTAGATTTTCATATAATCCAATCAAGAATTACTAGGTTGGTGCAAAAGTCATCGCAGCTTTTGCCGTTACTTTCAAGGGCAAAAAAATGCAATCACTGTTGCACCAACCTCATACTAAAATACTATTGGTCCATTTACACTGGCCTTTATATTATTACTCATGCCTGCAGAGTTTTAAGCTTATACTTCTTCCTCTCTTTCTACTAAAAGATTCTAAAATCAGGTGTCCTATTTGTGTGGTCAAAGATTTAACAACCAACTAATGTTTTACAGATAATCTTTTACTAGTCCTCTCTGCAAATGAGGAAAAAAACATAAAAGTAATAAGTAATACATTTTTATAGCACTATTTTTAAAGCTATATATTTAGTTTATAGAACTGTCTTATTATCAGACTATACCTTTACTTTTGTTGGTATAGTAAATGTGACAAGTGATAGTAGAGAATTTTTTCGATAATGTTCTTCACAGACAAGAAAGAAAAAGAAAAACCAAAAAGCTCTGACAATTATCTAGGTCCGTTTACTCATTTTTTTACTTGTAAGACTGTGATATCTTACTGCTGTAGGTGAAATAGAAAATTAATACGTTTTTGCATACTGTAAATGTTCTCAATTTGTATGCTGAAGTTCACTGCTGTTTCAAAACCTTTTCCAACTGATCTACAGGTTTTGACAAACTAGAGTTTAAACTGAGGAAGACAAAAAATGTATTTGTAGAGATACTTTAATATTATTTCAGGTGTGAATCTAGTCATGCACAATCACCTCAATTTGGGTCCAAACAAATAGTGCATTTTTAGTAATAGAAGCAAGAACATTGCCTCATGTGCACATATAGAGTGTGTAATCAGGTTAGTAAAAATTCAAGCAGTAACTCAATGCTAAAGTGACTGAATAAGGAGTGTAATATCTCTGTACAGCAAAGGAAACAGTCAACGGAGTGAAGAGGCAGCCTATAAGATGGGAGAAAATATTTTCAAATGATACTACTTATAAGGAGTTAATATCCAAAATGTATAAGGAACCAAGACAATCTGATAGCAAGAAAACAACCTGATTTTTAAAAAAATGGATAAGGGACTCAAATAGACATTTTTCAAAATAAAACATACCAATTGTCAACAAGTATATTTTAAAATGCTCAATATCACTAATTATCAAGGAAATACACATTAAAACCACAATAAGGTATCACTCACACTTGTTATAATGGCTACTATCAAAAAGACAAAAGATAATAAGTGTTTACAAGCACGTGGAGAAGAGAAAACCTATGCACACTGTTTGTGAGAATGCAAATTATTTCAGCCCTGATGAAGAGCAGTATGGAAGTTCCTCACAAAATTAAAATTAGAACTACCATATTAACCCAGCAATCACCCTTCTGTGTATATATCCAAAGGAAATAAAATCTGTATGTTAGCTGAGTATGGTAGCTGACACCCATAAGTCCAGAACTTTGAGTGGATGAGGTGGAAGAATTGCTTGACACCAGGAGTTTGAGACCAGCCTGGTAAGCATAGCAAGATTTTGTCTCTAGAAAAATAAAAATTCAATAATAGCCAGGTAGGGTGGCATGAGCCTGTAGTGTTAGCTACTGGGAAGGCTGAGGCTCAAGCATCCCCTAAGCCCAGGAATTTGAGGCTGCAGGGAGCTATGTTCGTACTACTGCACCCCAACCTGGGCAACAGAGTGAGACTCTGTCTCTAAAAAAAAATCATTAGGTCAAAAAGAGATCTGTATTCTTATGTTCAAATATTCGTTGCAGCATTATTCACAATAACCAGGATATGGAATCAATCTAAATGTTCATCAACTGATTAATGGATTTTTGAAATGTGTCATTTATATACAAAAGAATACTATTTGGCTTTTAAAAGGAAGGAAATTTTGTCATTTGTGATAGCATGGACGAAACTGAAGGACACTGTGTTAAATGAAATAATCCTGGCACAAAAAGACAAGTATTCCTTGATTTCGCTCCTATGTGGAATCTAAAACAGTTTAATTCACAGAAGCGGTTACCAGGAGTTGGAGAAGAGAGGGGTTTAGAGATGACAGTCAAAAGATAAAGTTTCAGTTACCCAGGAGGAATAAGCTCTGGAGATCTATTTTACTGAGTGGTGACTATAGTTAATGTACACTTGGAAATTTTAAATGTCCTCACCACGAAAAATAACTACATGAGGTGATCAATGTGTTAGCTTGATTTAAACCATTTCTCAATGTAGATGTATATCAAAACATTATATTATACACGTAAACATATATAACTTCTATTTGCCCATTAAAAAAAATAAAACAGTGAAAAACCTGTAGATATATTTATAGAAGCTGAAAGATATTGCTGAGATATTTAATTATAATAATTTTTGTCTTTTTGTAAATAAATTTGCTCAATAATACTACATTAATACAATGATGTTAATATTTCATAGGATGCCATTTATACAAATGATTTGAGTATCATTGCTCTAATCCATGCATGTGCATATGTATGCGCATGTCTTAAGGCAACCACAAAATAGTTCCACACACAATACTCAAATATGTACATATAGACTAATTGCTATACATATATTAGGGTGCTAAAACACACAGATACAAAAGAGGATAGGCAAAAAGTTATGCACAGGTCATGCTTTGCATCTCAGAAAGTACAGCACGATTAAGGCGTTCACACTGCTCTGTAGATATAGGTGTAGACAATAACAATATTTATTCTAGGTGTATGTTAAGGGGATAATAGTTTCTTCAAAACATTGGCTAAGTTTATTCTCTACACTGGGTGAAGAGATATATGGATATGTGTCATTCATTGAAATATGTCAGGGTCTAACTGCCAGGTGAAAACATAAAATTAAATGTTAATTCTTGTTTTCCTTTTAAAGTAAATAAATTAACAAACCTGGTTTTCACCCAGGAATAATATAAGCTATAAATATAAATGGAAGCAGAATCTGGAAAAACCAGTTTAACTTCCCATTCTCTATTACCACCCCCACTATACACACACATAAGCATATGCACACAGAAGGATGAACAAACAAAACCCACAAACATATACACACAGCTGTATAAAAAGCCTCCAAGCTTTGCAACCTGAAAAAGTTGGAAGAAAAAGGGGAAAAGATGCTGTTACGAATCACTGTCAACAGGCATGCAATTTCTGCCCCAACCCCGAGATTAAATCCACTTCCTAGATAACCAGACCTCCAGGAAATTTGGGGAATTAAGGAAAGAAAAGACCTATATCCTGTTTCCTTTCTGGAATTCTGGAGAGTGGCAGTCTCTCAGGCTTTCCGCATATTACAATGGGATGAAATCAATAAAGTAGACATGGCTGTGTGGCAGACCAGTGTGTCAGAGTGGCAATGTATGACTTTAAATAAGCACTATCGAGTTTCTGGTATTCCTCTGAGAAGAAGAGTGAGTGATCATATTTTCAAATGTTACTAAGGGTAACATACAGAAATAAATGGGCAAAGTAGCTGGCATATTTGAGTTGCACTGTGATTGTGCAAGAGTAGGCTCCAAGAGATGCAGAATGAAAGTGAAAATGGTTGATAAGATGAGGATGAAGACGTTTCAGTATTAATTGTATAGTAAGGTAAGGAGAGATGAGAATTACATACAGTTTAATTATTTTTTTAATTTATTTATTTCAGGTGATGTAACTTTGGAAAGATGTTGCCCAAAGACCAGACACATGTATCTGAATGTCTAATGCCAACCCAGGGAAAAGGACAGAGGGGAAAAGAAATTTGGAATTTCTCACTTTAGATTAAATGTTTCAAATTGAGAGGAAGCACTGTTTTTTTTTAAGGGATACTACCTAGATAAAGTACATTTAATTTTAAAACACAGATGAGAAACCAAAACAAGGTAATTTTTTATATTTTAAGTTTATTTATGGAAAACTGGAATTGAGAGAAAAAGTCAGAAAACCGATATTATTCATATTAAAAGAGGTTACTCAGCAATAAAGCTTTAAAAGTATAATCAAAAACTTTAAACACAGATGGGTCATTAATTATGTTATACATTCTGCTGTTTAGCTTATAAATTATAAGCAAAACAATATTAATGGGACATTAAAAATTACAAATAAATAACATGAAAATGTTTAAAAATAAAATTATCTGGTTAGAATTAATTTGTAGGGACTGTATAACATGAAAAAACATTTTAAATGTCTGGAAGCTATTTTACTGAGTTCAGTTCTAAATTTTCAGATTCCCCTTTTGGTTATTTTTTATTAGAGGGGGGCAAATAATCAACCATTATTTTATTTGATTAATTGTTTTACTTGTCATTGATTACATTGATAATTATTTGCATTTCAACAACTTTAGGGAATTTAGTCAAAGACCAGTTGCACAGCAAGATTTAAAACTCTAGAGAGCATACCTTAGAGCACACTAAAAAGAGGATTGCCTCCAGAGTTTTGTCATTCACTGCTAAACAAGGAGCCAAGCATTCCTGGATTATGTCAAGAGAAAAGAACCCAAACCCAATATGACACATTAAGAACCACATATAAGGAGACCACTGAAATATCTATGTTTCCCATAATAATTTTCATCATGTTAATAATTCCGAGATATATTTAGGTATGTAAGTATTATATTCTTCTTTGAGGAGCTAATATGTAAATTTAATGATATGCCACATAGTTTGACCATAGTCAATAGGCACAATAGGGCTTTTCCCTCATGATTCAAGAGCCCATTTCCTTTGTTCTTCCAGAAAGCCAGAAGACCAGTTGTTCAGAATTTAGTTCATTAAGTAGTGACTTGGGAAGACGTTATAGAAAATCCAAATGCACACATTAATAATGATACTAAGTGTATGCTTCAGTCTCTTACAATAATAAGCCATATTTGCTTATAACAGATTGTAAGATTGGTTTATTTTTTCCAGATGAATGGAACAGCCACCATCACTTCAAAGAAAGGAAAGTCTGCGAACTCCACATGTGGAAGAATGAAAAGTCATGAGAGCTAAGAGAAAATATTTGATGAAGGTAGTACAAGGAATTCTAAAATTTAGCCTATTATAATAGAACCTTAATTTTTGTCCACTTTCCCAGAAGATTTAGAATAGCATTAGCAGCATTTTTGTATGGCAACACATCTTCATGAATTCATGGATGATGCTTGTAGTAAAGTGACTACTTCTAATGCTAGCAAATAAGTGGATACATTTCAAAGAAGGACACAAAATCTAACACCTTCTTCAACAAAATTTTTTTCTGAGATTAAGAGGATTATGACCAGAATATTTTCATAATTCATTATATAGCTGTTGGTATTACTCTATTTTGACACTGCTATAAAGAACTGCCTGAGACTAAATAAATTTATAAAGAAAAGAGGTTTAATTGATTCACAGTTTCACATGGCTGGGAAGGCCTCGGGAAATTACAATTATGACACAAGGGAAAATAGCCATGTCTTACATGGAGGCAGGTAAGGTAGGGGTGTGTGGAACCTGCCACTTATAAAACCATCAGAGCTCATGAGAACCCATTCACTATCATGATAATAGCATGGGGGAAGCTGCCCCCATGATCCCAATCACCTCCCACCTGGTCCCTCCCTCCACAGGTGGGGATTACAATTCAGATTTCAATTCCAGATAAGATTTGAGTGAGGACATGGCGAAAAAATATCACTGTTTATATAGTCAATCTGAAGGTTTCTGGAGGGTTACTTACTTTAGACCCAAATTTTGTGCCTTTCTCATAGAACCTTTCAACCACACCCTGGAGTCATCTTTCTGTATATCTAGTCTATCTTCTAAAATACTTATTTTCCTAGATAGTATGAGTTACTAGGGAAATATAAACTGGACATATTTTCTTTCATTTTGTACAAATTGTGGCCAATTTATCTGATTTTACTAGTTGAACATCTTATTTTTACCCCATTATATCTCCTGGATTTTAGAGGTTGGTACATTGCAGAGGTTTTCATCATCTTAATTTGACCTAAAATCTCGTGGCTTTCTAATAGCATCCTTGAACAACCCAATGAACCCATCTTTATGTTTTATAAGTAACCCCTTTATAAAAATATCAGTCAGTGTGGTTTGCATAGTATAATATGATGCCAAAATACTTCTCTTTCATAAACATATAAATAAAAAAGTTTTTTTGGTAATCAGAATTACCCATCGTAGGAGGTTCATGGAGAAACCTTATTAAAGGCCTACTCAGTTTCAAGATAATAAGGAAGCATATTCAATACATGAAGCCTAGTTAAATTATATAAAAGTAATTCAGTTTCAGAATATATTGGAATCCATTGTCTGTACTAGCCAGTGGATCCTAAGAATGATTTTAATTTTATTTTGAAGGATGGATTTGAATAGCCCTCTCTTTATACTCAGCTTGGACAAGTTTCTTCATGTCAGAGAAGTAAAAAACTAATGTCCCCTTATCAAATCAATGTGTATCTACAAGGAAACTAATTACTTGCTACTTTCTAATTTAAAATTTAGGAAAAAACATATGATGGGGCTATTAAAATGTTGACTCATTGATGTTCAAGGGTATTTGTTTTTACCATGTGAATTTGTATAACACTTGATATCCATATCAATTGTAACATTAAGTAAATGAAAACATACTGTCAGAGTAAAATTTTTGCTTCAAGTGGCACTAAATAGTATATATTGAGGTTTCAAACCATTGGCAAACAATATTGATTATTTTGTTCATAGCCCATAGGAATTATACAAATTATAATCTTCCACAGTAAGCCTTCTTACCAGAGAATAGTCTATTACAAGGACAGGACAAGAGGTAATATTTTCTAAAAAAGTGTTTATAATGTGTCTGAGACCTTCTTTGACTTCTACCTTAGTAGAATGATCAGGTAACTTAGTCAATAATTTGAGATGATAATTCAGATTTCTAAGGGTTTTGCTCTTATTATCTTACCAAGTTGTTGAATAAGGCCTAGTCTTCAATATTATACAGAAGCAATTCGTTTTATAAGTCTTAGAGGGCAGGTTTAGGAGTAATGGTTATTGCCTAACTGATAATGACATTAGTTAATTTTGAGTGCTAATTTTCTAGCATACATTCTACAATTTCATCTATTTATTTTAGTTATTCCAAATCAGTGATTTTTCACACTAATTTAAATTTTTAACTAGGTCAGTTACAGTACTTTTTTTTTTTTTTTTTTTTTTGATGGACTCTCTCTCTGTCGCTAGGCTGGAGTGCAGTGGCGTGATCTCGGCTCACTGCAAGCTCCGCCTCCTGGGTTTACGCCATTCTCCTGCCTCAGCCTCCCGAGTAGCTGGGACTACAGGCACCCACCACCACGCCTGGCTAATTTTTTGTATTTTTAGTAGAGACGGGGGGTTTCACCGTGTTAGCCAGGATGGTCTCAATCTCCTGACCTCCTGATCTGCCAGCCTCACACTCCCAAAGTGCTGGGATTACAGGCGTGAGCCACCACGCCCGGCCTACAGTACATTTTTTTGAACTTTTATTTTAAGTTAACAGGTACATGTGCAGGTTTGTTATTAGGTTGTTGCAAAAGTAACTGCAGTTTTTGCCATTATTTTTAACTGCAATTACTTCTGTGCCAACCTAACACATCAACAAATTTGTGTCATGGGGCTTTGTTGTGAAGACTATTTTATCACCCAGGTACTAAGCCTAGTACCCATTTGTTGTTTTTCCTGATCCACTCCCTCCTCCCACTCACCACCCTTCAAAGTTCCAGTGTTTGTTGTTTCCCTCTATGTGTCCAGGTGTTCTCATCATTTAGCTAAAACTTATAAGTGAGATTATGCAGTATTTGGTTTTCTGTTCCTACATTAGTTTGCTAAGGTTAATGGACTTCAGCTCCGTCCATGTTCCTGCAAAAGACATGATCTAGTTTTTTATGGCTGCATAGTATTCCACGATGTATATGTACCACATTTTCTTTATCTAGTCTAACATCAATGGCCATTTAGTTTGATTCCATGTCTTCGTTATTGTGAATAGTGCTGCAATGAACATGCACATGCACGTGTCTTTTTAATAGAATGGTTTATATCCCTGTATTATTCTGTTTTCACTTTGCTGACAAAGCCACACGTGAGACTAGGCAATTTACAAAAGAAAGAGATTTAATGCACTCACAGTTCCACGTGGCTGGGGAGGCCACACAATCATGGCAGAAGGTGAAAGGCATGTCTTGCATGGCAGCAGACATGAGAAGAGAACTTGTGCAAAGAAACTCCTCCTTATGAAACCATCAGATCTCGTGAGACTTATTCATTACCATGAGAACAGTACGGGAAATATCCACCCCCATAATTAAATTACCTCCAACCAAGTCCCTCCCACAACACGTGGGAATTATGGGAGTTACAATTCAAGATAAGGTTTGGGCGGGAACAGAGTCAAGCCATATAATTTTGCCCTGGCCCCTGGCAAATCTCATGTCCTCACATTTCAAAACAAACTATGCCTTCCCAACAGTCATCCAAAGACTTAATCATTTCAGCATTAACTCAGAAGTCCACAATCCAACATTTTATCTGAGACAAGGCAAGCCCCTTCCACCTATGAGCCTGTAAAATCAAAAGCAAGTTAGTTACTTCCTAGATACATTGACAGTACAGGCATTAGGAAAATACAGCTGTTCCAAATGGGAGAAATTGGCCAAAATAAAGGGGCTACAGACCCCATGCATGTCTGAAATCCAGTGGGGCAGTCAAATCTTAAAGCTCCAAAATGATCTCCTGTGACTCCATGTCTCACATCCTGGTCACACTGATATAAGAAGTGAGCTCCCACAGCCTTGGGCAGTTCTGACTCTGTGGCTTCACAGGGTATAGCCCCACAACCAGCTGCTTTTGTAGGCTAGCATTGAGTGTCTATGGCTTTTCCAAGCACACAATGCAAGCTGTCAGTGGATCTACCATTTTGGGGTCTGGAGGAGAATGGCCCTTTTCTCACAGATCCACTAGGCAGTGCCCCAGTAGGGACTCTCTGTGGGGCCTTCAACCCCACATTTCACTTCCACACTGTTTAAGCAGAAGTTCTCCATAAGGGCCCCACCCACAGCAAACTTCTGCCTGGCCATCCAAGAATTTCCATACCTCCTCTAAAATCTAGGAGAAAGTTCCAAATCTCAATTCTTGACTTCCATGTACCCGCAGGCCCAACAACACATGCAAATTGCCAAGGCTTGGGGCTTGCACCCTCTGAAGCCACGACTCGAGCTGTACCTTGGCTGCTTTCAGTCATGGCTGGAGTGACTGGATCGCAGGGCACCAAATCTCTAGGCTGCACACAGCACAGGACCCTGGGCCCAGTCTATAAAACCATTTTTTCTGCCTAGGCCTCTAGGCGTGTGATGGTAGGGGCTGCTGTAAAGGTCTCTAATATGCCCTAGAGACATTGTGCCCATTCAGCTTCTCATTACTTATGCATATTTATGCAGCCAGCTTGAATTTCTACTCAGAAAATGGGATTTTCTTTTTTATCACATGGGTAGGCTGCAAATTGTCTGAACTTTTATGTTCTGTTTCTCTTTTAAAACTGAATGCCTTTAACAGCACTCAAATCACCTCCTGAATACACGCTGCTTAGAAGTTTCTTCCACCAGATATCCTAAATCATCTCTCTCAAGTTCAACGTTCCACAAATCTCTAGGGTGGGGCAAAATGCCACCAGTCTCTTTGATAAAACATAACAACAGTCAACTTTCCTCCAGTTCCCAACAAGTTCCTTATCTCCATCTGAGACCCTCAGCCTGGATTTAATCATCATATAATTATCAACATTTTGTTCAAAGCCATTCAACAAGTCTCTAAGAAGTTCCAGACTTTCCCACATTTTACTATCTTATTCTGAGCCCCCCAAACTGTTCCAAACTCTGCCTGTTACCCAGTTCCAAAGTCGTTTCCATATTTTGGGGTATCTTTTTAGAAGCACCCCAGTCTACTGGTACCCATTTACAGTATTAGTCTGTTTTCATGCTGCTGATAAAGACATATCTGAGACTGGGCAATTTACAAAAGAAAAAGGTTTAATGGACTCACAGTTACACATGGCTGGAGAAGCCTCACAGTCATGGCAAAAGGTGAAAAGCATGTCGCACATGGAGGCAGGAAAGAAAAAAGAACTTGTGCAGGGAAACTCCCTCTTATAAAACCATCAGATCTCATGAGATTTATTCACTATCATGAAAAACAGCACAGGAAAGACCCACTTGTATAATTCAAGTACCTCCTACTGGGTCCCTGTCACAAAACATGGAAATTGTGAGAGCTATAATTCACTATGAGATTTGGGTAGGGACACAGACCAACCATATCAATTCCTTTGGATATATACACAGTAATAGGATTGTTGGGTTTTGTCTTTAGGTCTTTGAGGAATTGCCACACTGTCTTCCACAATGGTTGAACTAATGTACACTCCCACCTACAGTGTATAAGCATTCCTTTCTCTCCACAACCTCATCAGCATCTGTTATGTGTTGACTTTTTAATAATAGCCATTCTGACTATTGTGATATATTGCATCTTAATCAATTGATGACATTTCCTCAAGCTTAGAAGTCTATTTTTAATGTTAATACTAATACTTGGTACACTGTTTTTCTTACTTGCTAGACTATATATTTTTTCAATATGATATTGGAGAGAATTTTATAAATAGTCTTTTAAGCTGTTTATCAAGTATTATTTCCATATCTAGTAATTCTTGGATATTGTGGAGGACTGATTATATCTTGCTAGCTTTACTATTTATTCATTTCTCCCCATAAAATTACTCAGTAGAAGATGAATTAAATGATAATGATGAAGCTATCCCAAGTAACACATATCCAATAGATTTCCGAGCTCAGTTGTGAATTTAAATCTGTCTTTCTAACTTTAGGAAAACCTTTGGTGTTGACATGAATTTCAGGTGAGGTGAGAACAGGATTCAAATTTTAATTGTCCGAGGCTAGTTTTAATTTTATTATTCTGCAAAACGTTCTTGAGTGGGATTTCCTGAATGAAGGGGAATTGCCCCAGAAGATTGAAGGTGTGGTAGGATACTGGGGAGGTAGAGAAAAAAACACAGGAATATGATGGGGCTGATTTTGTGACATATTTGTTGTAGAGTTTGGAGGAGAGAAAAAAAGGCAATAATAATTTGAAATTTTTCAGTTTAACAAATAGATTGATGGAATTTCCATCAACTAAGGTAAGAAACAATGTGAATAGAGCCAATCTAGCATGTTATGTTTGAGTTGCTACTTAGACCTTCAAGTGGATGTGCAGAAAAGGCCATTGAATAATTAAGTCGAGAGTTGATAATAAAGGTATGAAGATCATGGGCACATAAATGTATTTACTGACATGAGACCAGATATATCACAAAGGGATTGAGTATACATAGAAAATAGGACTAAGTAATAAGCCCTGGGACAACCCAATATTAAAAGTTTTTATCCATGCCAGGAGTATGCAGCTAACCATTTTCTGCATATTACTTCTCTGCAAGGAATGTCTTTGCATTTTCCCTTTGTTGATTAAGGTCATTTTTGAAAGTTAATCTCTCTCTCTCCCTTTTTCCTAACCAAGCCAGTACTATTATCTCCATATTTTCAGCCTTATTACAAACATATCTCACAGTAAAGAGTGAGCACTTAGTTTTTCTGTTTATGTGTTACAGTTCTTTCTTATTCATAAATTTTGCAGCTTGGGATGGATATTTGTGAGGCACCATAAAGAGGGAATTTTTGATGTAATCATATAACAAAAAATGATTTTTAAGAAGCAGTCACAATTAGCAAAGAAAAATTTTATCTCCTCGATTTCCTTTTGAAGATTTAGAATTATCCTATCACCAAAATAAAGATATATCTTTGCCTCTCCTGAATGAGATAACAATTTGTTATACCTTTGATATTTGTAAGGAATTTATAAACACATGATTGCCATCCAGTTCAAAGATTGGAAATAGAGGTGCAAATTCATGTCACCTTAATGCCAGCACTGGTAGGAAGTAGTGTGTGGTTATATGAGGATTACACCAAAAAACAAGATGGACAGCTCTGGTGGCCCAGAAAAGGGTCAGGTGGTTAGAGTCAAAAGGAAAATGCAATTTGGAAGCATTTACTGCTTAGAGTATTAAAGGGACTGTGGTGTTCCAACTATCATAGGAATGCACCTCTCAGCTACCAAGACACAAGAGAAGAGTCAGAAGCAAGCATATTAACTATTTGGCTGCTTTATTCCAGTAAGCCAATTCTGTTGTAAGTTTCTTGATGTCATGAGTTCTAAATATTATTGAGAGAAAGGAAAGTAAGTAGAATAGTTTTAAGAGTTTTATGTTCTTAGATTTAGAGCTACCATTCTTTAAAACTTTGAATTTAAAAATAATTTTGGCCATGTGTGGTGGCTCATGCCTGTAATCCCAGCACTTTGGGAGGCCGAGGCGGGCGGATCACGAGGTCAGGAAATCGAGACCATCCTGGCTCGGTGGTTTCACACGATGAAACCCCATCTCTACTAAAAATACAAAAAAAAAATTAGCCGGACATGGTGGTGGGCGCATGTAGTCCCAGCTACTTGGGAGGCTGAGGCAGGAGAATGGTGTGAACTCGGGAGGCGGAGCTTGCAGTGAGCCGAGATCACGCCACTGCACTCCAGCCTGGGTGACAGAGTGAGACTTCATCTCAATAATAATAACAATAATAATTTTAAGAGTATCTAGATGCTTGTTTTAGGGATAGTTATGCATACTGCTAAAAATGACATATTGATTTAATCTGTAATTGAACATAATATGTGCATAAGATTTCTCTCTCAAATTTGTTAATAGTTTTAATATTCTTGATAGTGTTTGTGTGATAATTAAATTTATTACCTGAAACTCTAATTATGCCTTTTATACTCCTATTTATAAGTGTCTTATGTCTGCTAACTTTCATTTGTTTTAAACAATTCTTTCCAGTGGCTCATGCCGGGAATCCCAGCACTTTGGGAGGCCGAGGTGAGCGGATCACCTGAGGCCAGTAGTTTGAGACCAGCCTGGCCAACATGGTAAAACTCCGTCTCTACTAAAAATACAAAAATTAGCTGGGCATGATGGTGGGCACCTGTACTCCCAGCTAATTGGGAGGCTGAGGCAGGAGAATGGAGTGAACTCGGGAGGCGGAGCTTGCAGTGAGCCGAGATCACGCCACTGCACTCCAGCCTGGGTGACAGAGTGAGACTCCGTCTCAAAAATAAATAAATAAATATTAATTTTAAGAGTATCTAGATGCTTGTTTAAGGATAGTTATGCATACTGCTGAAAATAAATTTTACACATAATAATGAGACTTGTGCCATACGAAATACAGGGAAAGTGACAGTTGCTTTTTAGAAGCATCTGCTATTCTTCTAATAGAAGATAAAAAAACAAAGTATTTCTACTCCAAGTATTTAGAAATAAGTCAAATTGAAGATAATGTCATAAGTAAAATTTAAATGTCACATATAACCATTATTTATAATTATAATGTAACAATATATTAAGAATATTTTGAGTGATTTTAAAAATAAAAGTTATTACAATCTTGCCATAAGTAGAAATACAATATTACTGATACACACAGACACAAACACACACAACACTAATATATATAAAAAACAATTTTTTTCTAATTTGAGAATTATTTTTTGGACAATCACTAAATGTAGTTAAATTAAATTGAGGTTGCATTGCATTATACTAATTTTGATTTGAAACAAGATTTGATTACTTATTTTTAAAATATCAATATATTTTAAAATATCTTATAGTCAATCTTCTAATTTCTATTCACCAAATAAATTTGTATCTATCAATATGTAAATATTAGACATCAGCTTGAGCATTTTATGTAATACTAACCTATAATATAAAATTATTTTAATTTAAAATAATTTTTGGTATTATGTAATATGGTAATTAATCTGTCAAAGTGTAATTGTTCAAACATTATTATAACACATATTTTCTATAGATTCAAGTAATTATTTTTATAAAAATAATGCTTTTAATTGAAGAATCCCTTAAAATAGTATTACATTTTAAGACTAAAGATATAGTTTTCCTATTTTCTTTACAACAAACATTGCCCTTCCTCCTCTCATAATTTAGAGTTATCTTAACAGGGTTTATATTTGTATAGATTAGTGGGATGGACAAAGGCTTGTTCTGCTTTGGAGAATATCTTGAATACAGGCATATAAAGGGATTATTATTATCATTTCATTATGCACAATCTTATCATGTATAAACTTATACTTTAAAAGTTTTACTCAGTTTAAATCACTATTTAAACCATGAATTAAGAATATGAGATTTAATGTTTTCTCATGAAGTAGAAATTTACATTTGATATCCATTGTATTGATGAGTCTTTGTAAATTTTGTGTACGTGTGAGTGTATTACACACCTTAGAACTATTTGCTGGTCTTAAAAAGACCAATTGACATCAGCGAGATGGTGGAATAGAGGATCCTTCACCATGACTCTTTCCACAAAAATATTCAAAGACAAGAAAACTATGCTGAGTTTACCAGAACTCAGGGAAGAGGTGGAAGAACCTCCAGGCCCACAGAATTACCATGACTGGTAAGAAAAATGATAGTTTCATACTGTCCCTTCTCCCTCAAGCTAGCATAATGTCACATGCAGAAAATTTCTCTAGGCCTAATGCTTCCAAGGTGAGAAGAGGGAATTAGAAGTACAAGTGTAAAATTTCCATTGGTATGCGAAAATTCATAGAAAGCCCACTCTGGTTCTGTACCATGGGAACCACTGGGAGTTCCAGGAGGGCTGAACCACCTGGGGTTAAACACTGAACATTAACAGGTGCACAAATATTGACAGCTGCACTCTGATCACTGGTGACATCACTCAAAAGAGACTACTCAGTGCCATAATTGTGCAAGGGGCACAAGTTGTGAGAAGGACTGAATTCCTAACCAGATTTTGCACAAAGTCCAGGAGCTTATGTTGATACCTCTCCTGATGCAAAAACAACTAAGATGTTGGTATTAAGTTCTGGTTTCTGCTTAAGTCTTCCTCAGACTAGAAAACAATGACATGGCAGCAATATAGTTCAGAAACAAAGTTCAGACGCATATTATAAGTTTCCTCCAAACCATAAAACAATTACAGGGAAGCAATTAAGGTCCAAAGCAGAATTTAAGATTCAGTGTTAACTACAAGTCTTCCCCAGACCAGGAAACAATGGCAGTCCAATCGGTTGGCTCCAGTGCCATGACCACCAAAAGTTCTCCCCAGGATGACAAGAAACAGGTCAGCATTTATATTCCAATCCTAAGTAGTAAAAACCTTATACCATCATAAAACACCTGCAAAAACTGGAAGAGGTAGATGTCTCCTTGGATATGCAGGTATCAATATAAAGATAAGAAGATTGTAAAAACTCAGGAAAATATGACAAAAAAAGAAACGAAGAGTGTCAAGCAATGGACCCAGAATAATAGAAGATCTACAAGATGTTGCAGAATCCAGAATAATTTTTAAAAAGTTGGAAATCACAAGAAAGTATAAATTGAAACTTTAAAACACCCAAGGAACAATTTGATAAATTGGACAATGAAACACAAACAGTTAAAAGATAGAAATACTAGAAATAAAAAATAAAATAACTGAATTTAAAAACTCATTAGAAAGCTTCAACTACACACTTGAACAGAGGTAAGAATTAACAATCTTGAAGACGGAACACATGAAATTAGCAAATCAGAGAAGCAGAAAGGAAAAAAATGAATTAATAAAAATTAAGAAGTCCTATGATAATTATGCAACACTCAAGCTAACTAACTCCTCATAATAGGAATTCCCAAAGGCGATAGGCAAGAAAAAGACCTAGAAAGCATACTTAAGAAAAAATAGCTAAAAATTTATTAAATCCGGAGAAATACACCACCACGTAAGTACAGGAAGGTGGGGGTAACCAACCAAATACAGCTCAAAGAGAAAATCCTCAAGGCAAATTATAATCAAATTAGCAAAAATGAAAGACAAGAAATAAATCAGCAAGAGAGAAAAAAATACATTACATTCAGTGGAGCCCCAATGCAGCGTTCAGCAGATTTCTCAGCACAAATCCTGCAGTCCAGGAATGAGTGAGATTCTTTGTCCAAAGTGCTGAAGCAAAAATACTGGCAACCAAGAACACTGTACCTAGCAAAGATATTCTTTGGACATGAAAGAGAGATAAAGAAATGATAAGCCTCATGATAACCACAAAGCAAGAATCCATAATAAAAACACTAAAAATAAATAGCACAGGATCAAAATAGACTACTAAAGAAAATTACTTTACCACAAAGGAACCGAGTGGGAGAAGAAAAAGGAAGGAACGATATATAAAACACCCAGAAAACCACAAAATTTTGTAGCAAATCCTTACATATCAATAATAACTTTAAATAGACTACATTCTTCAATTAAAAGACATATATGAGCTAAACAGATTGTAAAATTAGACCCAGCAACATGGCTGACTAGAAATGTCTGGCATTTATTGTCCCTCACAAGAAAGGAACAGGCAATAAATAAACAGCTATGACTTGACTAGAGTATCAGAGGAAGAGTGCTGGATTGCACTGGAAGAGTGAAAATGTACCTGTGGTTATTGGAAGTCTAAGAGAGCAGCATGGAGGAGCTTAGCTTCTGCACCCTTGTCTGTCTCACCCAGATTGGATCTGCTTGAAGTCAGGAGGAATATCCCATTGCAGGAAAAAGGTAAACAGAAGACCCCCACAAGCCTCCAATACCCCTACGAATAATTACAATACTTAAAACCAAAGAGTCTCACAGTCCCCACTGACCTGAACCCAATTTGGAGAATTGCCAGGGACTACACAATATTGTCCGGGATTAAAAGCACAGGTGTGCACTCCCTGCCCCACCTCCAGGGAGCCAATCTTCTTTAGCATGGCCCCATCTTAAATCCAGAGCCATCTCTGGAGTGCATGCTGCTCTGGGGGCCAGTAGCCAATGCACCTTTACAGCACTAGGGCTTCATTTTTATTATGCCAGACCAACATGGGTTTCTGAATGCCACAACTCCAGCCATGTGGAGCTTGAGCCCAGGATTGGCTGTAATTCTGGTCCTGCACAGCAAAGAAACCAATCCCTGCTATAATTACCAATCACTGCTATAATTTTGGCAAATAATATTCCATGCAAATGAAGATGTATATATATAAACCAATCACTGCTATAATTTTGGCAAATAATATTCCATGCAAATGAAGATGTAGATAAACAAATTCAGTAGGTTTGCAGGACACAAAATTAATACATAGAAATTAGTAATACTTCTATACATGAAAAACAAGCTAAAAAGGAAATCATTAAGGCAACCCCATTTATTGTAGCCACAAAAAATAAAATAAAAGATGTAGGAATAAAGTTAACCAAGGAGTTGAAAGACCTCTACAAGGAAAAGAAAAAAACACTGATGAAAGAAAAAAAAAAGATACAAACAAATGAAAAGACATTTCTTGCACATGGATCAGAAAAATTAATATTGTTAAAATGAAAATACTACCCAAGTGATCTGTAGATTCATCACAATCTCAATCAAAACACCAATGGCATTCTTCACAGGAATAGACAAAATAATTCTATAATTTGTATGGAACCAAAAAAGACCCTGAATACCCAAAGCTATCCTGAGTATAAAGAACAAACCTGGAGGTATCAAACTACAAGACTTTAAAATATATTAAATTCTGTAGTAATAAAAACAGTATGATATTGGCATAAAAATTGACACATAGACTGATGGAACAAAAGACACATAAAAGTAATCTAATTAATTAATTGATTATATAAATTTATATCTATAGTAAATTAATTTTAACAGAGGTGCCAATCAGATTTGTGAGGAAGTGACAGTCTCTTCAATAAATAATATTAGAAAAACTGGGTATCCATATGCAGAAGAACGAAACTAGACCCCCACCTGGTACTCTATATAAAAATCTAATCAAAATGAATAAAAGAACTAAACGTAAGACCTCAAATGATTAAACTACTATAAAACTACTAGAAACAAATATAGGGGAAGCACTTAAGAAGTGTTTTCTGGGCAAAGATTTTATCAATATGACCTTAAAAGCACAGGCAGTAAAAGCAAAAATGAACAAATGGAACTGTAGCAAACTAAAAAACTTTTGCACAGAAAAGAAAACGTCAACATTGTGAAAAGACAACCTACACACTGGGATAAAATATTTTCAAACTTCTCTTCTGATCAGGGTTAACATTCAGAATATACAAAGGATTTAAAGATCTCAACAGCAAAGAAACAAATAATCCAATCTAAAAATGGCCAAATGATAGGAAGAGACATTTCTCAAAAGACGACATACAAATGGCCAGCAGGCATATGAAAAAATGCTCAACATAACTAATCAGGAAAATGAAAATCAAAGCCACAATGAGATAGCATCTCATCTCAGTTAGGATGGCTATTATAAAAAATATATATATTCTGGAAGGAATGTGGAAAAAATAGAACACTATTGGTAGAAATGTAAACTCCAGCCACTATGGAGAACTGTATGGAATTTTCACAAATAACTAAAAATTGAACTTCTATATGATCCAGAAATCCCACTATGGGAATCTATCCAAAGAAAATCATTAGATTGAAGAAATGTCTCCACTCCCATGTTTATTGCAACACTATTCACAATAGCCAAAATAGTGAATCAAATTAAGTGTTTATCAATGGGTTAATGAATAAAGAAAACATTATATATATAATATATATTATCTATTATATATATAATTTTATATAACATATATTATATATTGTTATATATTTTATATATATATATGCCTTAAAAAAGAAAAAAATCTTGTCATTTGCAGGAGCATAAATGGAAGTGGAGGATATTATGTAACGTGTAATAGGCCAGGAACGAAAAGGTAAACATGGCATGGTCTCCCTTTTATTTGACTTTTATTTAACAGCTAAAATACATTGATCTCATATAATTAAAGATAATACAATCTGGGAAGGATGGGGAAAAGGTGGGATTGGAAGAGAATTGCTAAAGGATACAAAATTACAGCAAGACAGTAGGAATAAATTACAGTATTCTATATCAATGTAAGATGACCATAGTTAACAAGAATATATTATATAATTGTAAATACCTAAAAGGAGAATATTGAAATGTTCCCAACACAAAGAAATAACAAATATTTGAGGTATTTAATATGCAAATTTCTCTATATGATCACTATGCAATGTACATATTGAAATACTGCCATGTACCCCACAAATATAAACAATTATTATTTGTTAATTAAAAATATAAATAAATAAAATGACTCAACTATAGGCTGCCTACAAGAAACACTTCACCTAAAAAGTCACTCACAGACTCAAATAGAAGGGATGAAGAAAGACACTCCATGCAGGTGGAAACGAAAACAATAGCAGGATTAGCTATACTTCTATCAGATAAAACAGACTACAAGTCAAAGAACATAAAAAGAAACAAAAAAGTTCCCTATATAATGATAAAGTGGTTAATTCCACAGGAAGATATAACAATTCTAAATATGTATGTACCCAGTACCGGAACACCCAAATATAGAAAATAAATATTGATAGAACAAAAAAGAGAAAATGACTGCAGTATGATAATAATAGGGAACTTCAACAACCAACTTTCATCAATACACAATTCACCTCTACAGAAAATTAACATGAGAGTTAAACTACACTCCAGACCAAATAGGCTTAAAAGACATTTACAGAATATTGCCTTGAACGGCTGCAAAATATGCGTTTTTCTCAATAACACATGGAGCATTGCCAAAGATGGACCATATTTTAGGTCCCCAGACAAGAGTTAACAATTTTTAAAAAATCAAAATTATACCAAGTACCTTTTCTAAACACAGTGGAATAAAACTAGAAATCAACAACAGAAGGAACTTTGCAAACTATATGCATTCATGGAAATTAAACATGCTTTTGAAATATGAATGGGGAAATGAAGAAATTACAAAGACAATTTTGAAAATTTCTTGAGGTAAATGAAAATGGAAACACAACAGAATAAAACTTATGGTATACTAAGTGATCCTAAGAGGGAAGTATATATCAGTAAACACCTACATCAACAGAATAGAAAGACTTCAAATAAACAATCCAACAATACACCTTAAGGAACTAAAAACGCAAGAACAAACTAAACCCAGAATTATTAGAAGGAAACAAATAATAAAGATCAGAGTAAAGCAAAAGAATTTAAAACTACAAAATACAAAAGATCAAAAAAGCAAAAAATTGCTTTGAGATTTAAAAAATGATAAACCTGTAGCTAGAATAACCAAGAAAAAAGAAAAACGACACAAATAAATAAAATCAGAAATGAAAAAGGATATATTACAACTGATACCACAGAAATCAAAGGAACATTAAATACCATTATGAACAACTATGTGTCAACAAATAGGAAAACTTAGAAGAAATATATAAATACCTGGACACATACAACCTATCAAGATTGAACCACGAACTAAAATCTTGAACAAACCAACAACAAGTAACAAGATTGAAGCAGTAGTAAGTCTCTCATCAAGCAAAAGCCAATGATCTGGTGACTTCACTGCCAAATTCTACCAATCATTTAAAGAACTAATATCAGTTCTACTCAAATTGTTTTTAAAAAATTGAAGAACAGAAAATTCCAAACTATTGTATGAGGCCAGAATTATCCTGATTTCAATACCAAATAAAAACACAAAAAGAGAAAGCTGCAGGTCAATATTCCTGATGAACATAGATGAAAAAAATCCTCAACAAAATACTAGCAAATCAAATTCGACAACACATTAAAATTTTTTTATTCTGATCAAGTTAGATTCATTCCAGGGATTAAATGATGGCTCAACTTATGCAAATCAATACACAGGATATATTACATTAACAGAATTGATAACCAAAACTATATGAGTTTTAATAGATAAAGCAAAAGCATTTGATAACATCTGACATTTCTTAATGATAATAACCCTCAACAAACCAGGTATAGAAGTAACTTACCTCAAGACAATAAAAGTATATATAAGAAACCCACAGCTTCCATCATACAAGATAGGGAAAAATTAAAGCCTTTCCTTTACGATCCGGGAAAAATTATCTTGGTTCACAAACACAATGATCCTATAGTTAGAAAATCTAAAGACTCCACCAAAGCACTGTTAGAACTGATAAACAAATTCATTAAATTTGCAGGATATAAAATTAACGTGCAAAAATCAATAGCATTTCTAAATACTGACAGTGAATAATCAGAAAAAGAAATAAAAAATACAATCTCATTTATAATTGCTGTAAAAAATACATAGGAGTAAATTTAATCAAAGAAAGGAAATGCTTCTACAATAAAAGCTATAAAGCATTGATCAAAGAAATTGAAGAGTGCACAAAAAATGAAAATATATGCATGTTCATAGATTTGAAGAATTAATATTGTTAAAATGTCCATATTAAAGTGATCTAAAGATTCTATGATTTTCCTGTCAAAATACCGATGACATTCTTTACAGAAATAAAAAAAAATCCTAAATTTGATATGGTACCACAAAAGACCCCAAATAGCCAAAGAAATCCTAGCCAAATAAAAAAAGAAGAAGAAGAATTATAGTAAAAGGTGTCACATTTTCTGACTTCCAAATGTACAATAAGGCTATGGTAAGAAAAATAGTATGGTGCTGGCAAAAAACAAAGATAAATAAACCAGTGGAACAGAGTAGAGAACGCAGAAATACATTCACACATTTATAGCCAACTGTTTTTTAACAGAGCCTCCAAGAACATACCATGGGGAAAGAATACTTTATTCATTAAATGGTGCTGGGAAAATTGAATATCCATATACAGAAGGGGTCTACAAAAATTAGACCTTTATCTCTGACCTTATATGAAAAACAACTCAGAATGGAATGAAGCCTTAAATCCAACACCTGAAAATATAAACTACTAGAAGGAAACATAGAGGAAATTCTAGTGGACGTTGGTCTGGGTAATTATTTTGGGGATAAGATCTCAAAGCATAGGCAACAAAAGCAAAAGTAGGCAAATGGAATTACATCAGCTAAAATGCACTGAACAGCAAAGGAAACAGCAGACTGAAGAGACAACCTATGGAATTAAAGAAAATATTTGCCAACTCTACATCTGACAAGGAGTTAATATCCAGAATATATAAACTCAAACTACTCAATAGCTATATATATATATATATATATATATATATATATATATATATGTGTGTGTGTGTGTGTGTGTGTGTATGTATATAAACATAATTTTAAAACAAAAAATTGACCTGAGTAGAGATTTTATAAAAGAAGATATACAAATGACCAAAAAGTATAAGAAAAATTGCTCAACATCATAATCATCAAGCAAATACAAATCAAAATGAGATATCATCTCACTCCAGTTCAAATGGCTATTATTATTATCAAAAGGACAAAAAATAACGCATGCTGGCAAGGACATAGAGAAAGGGAAACACTGGTACACGGTTGGTAGGAATGTAAATTAGTACAGCCATTGCAACACAGTGTATTGAAATTGCTCCAAAAACTAAACATATATACCCCTGTGATCCAGCAATCCTACTACTGGGTATATATTCTAAAAAAAAAGAGATATCTGTATATTGAAGAGACAGTTTCACCTTCATATTTATTGTGGCACTATTTTCAATAGCCAAAGTAGTGAATCAACCGAAGTGTTCATTAACAGATGCATGGACAAAGAAAATGTGGTATATATACACAATGGAATCTTATACAGCCATAAAAGAGATGAAATTTTGTCATTTGCAGAAACATCAGTAAAATTGGTGGACATTATGCTAAATGAAATAGGATGGTTACCAGTGGCTTGGAAGATTTTGAGGTCTAAAGAGAGCTGGATTACATAGAAAAAGTAAGTTCTAGTGTTCAATAGCACAGTAGAGTAATTAGTGTTAACAATATTGTAATGCATATTTCAAAATAGCTAGAAAGGAAGATTTGAAATATTTCCAACACATAAAATGGTAAATGTTTGAGATGATGAACACCCTAAGTACCCTGATTTGACCATTACACATTGTATACATGTATCAAAGATCGCAGTTATCCCATAAATAAGTACAATTATTTTTTATCAATAAAAAAATTACTTTTGCTGGAAATCCACCTCAGAAGATTTAACAAGGAGGAGTAAGGGCGGATAATTGGTATAATTTAGTACGGCACTAATAGATTTTATTGTGCAGTGAACTTTAAGAACCTCTGCCTAGAGTATGAGTAGGTCCTGGCACAAGATTTCTTAAATTAGTTTTTGTCTGCCTCTGATAAGATCAGAAAGAGAGGAAAACAGGGAGAGCAATTAGTATTAGTTGAGCGAAGAAAGGAGCTTTCTTTCCTTTGGCAAAACCATACCTTTTTTTTTTTTTTTTTCCTTATTCTGGAAACAAATGGTGAGATTGAGGAAAATCATTTGGGAGCCAAGCTCCATTTTAGGTCATTCCCTTTCTGTCTACGTGGGTAAACCCTGTGACTGTGAAAGCTGTCAGAAACAAAATAGAGTCACCTGTGTTTCACACCATGACAAATGGAACCAGAAAATGCCATGGAGAGACGGTTCTCATGCACACATACCTGATAAGAGAACTATCATAAAAACTCAGTGAAAAACACAACCTTGCACAAAGTCCACCACAACCTTACAAAAAAAAAAAAAAAAAAAAACCTTCTGGGAAGACTTTTGCCCAGCAACTGAATGTCAAACTTCGAAGTAACACACCCTTGTTATTGATTGTGGTAGCCAAAGATATTTGTGTCAAAACAACTTATGTAACTGCTATGGTTTAAATATAAGTTCCCTCCAGAACTCATGGTGAAATTTAATTCCCAATGTAGCAGTATTGAATAGCTAGAGCCTTTAGGAGTTGATTAAGTCATCTGGAGGTTGCCTTCACGAATGGATTCATTCATCTATGAATTAAGAGATTAATGTATTAATGGATTATCATGAGAGCAGGACTGGGGGTTTATAAGCTGAGAAAGAGGGACCTGAGCAAACTCGCTCAGCCATCTCACCATCTAATACCCTGCACCAACTCAGGGCACCCAGAGTCTCCAGTAGCAAGATAGCTATCATCAGATGTGGCCCCTCCCTGACCTTGGACTGCTTAGCCTCCACAACGGAAAGAAATCAATTCATTTTCTTTATAAATTACCTGCTTCCTGGTATTATGTTAGAAGCAATAGAAAACAAAGTCACCATCCTCATTTTTTCTTTAGGCCGGGCGCAGTGGCTCACGCCTGTAATCCCAACACTTTGGGAGGCTGAGGCGGGCAGATCATGAGGTCAGGAGATCGAGACCATCCTGGCTAACACGGCGAAACCCCGAATCTACTAAAAATACAAAAAAAAATTAGCCAGGCGTGGTGGCGGGCGCCTGTAGTCCCAGCTACTCGGGAGGCTGAGGCAAGAGAATGGCGTGAGCCCCGTAGGCGGAGCTTGCAGGGAGCCGAGATAGCGCCACTGCACTCCAGCCTGGGCGACAGAGCAAGACTCCGTCTCAAAAAAAAAAAAAAAAAAAAGAAGCCCTTGTCTTCTTTACCTGTGTTGCATGTTTCCATTTCAATGTCGATTTTCAAATATATATATATATTTGTGTGTATATATATATATATTAGTGTATATATATATATTATTTAGGTTTGATATGATCTAGTAATTTCAATATCTCTTGGTTACTCTGGGGTACTGTAGACAGTGGGTTGCCACACTTGCTTTATATACTCTCCATTTTCAGTATAATTGAATTTAGATACACTCTCTGAGTCTTTCTGCCTTTAGCCAGAAAAGTAATAAAGGTTTGGCATCTACAATAAACTGTGCTTGTCTTTACAGAGAATAGTAATATATTTGTTTTAAGGTATTATAACAGTGGCTGAGCCATTTTATTTAATGTGAAATTTGAGGCCGCAAAATTTCAAGATATAAGTGCACAATCAGAAATATGCAGTTATTATATATGCCACAGTGAGACTACATTGGTTTTTTAATGTGAGTG
This sequence comes from Homo sapiens, assembly GCF_000001405.40. Taxonomy (NCBI): domain Eukaryota; kingdom Metazoa; phylum Chordata; class Mammalia; order Primates; family Hominidae; genus Homo; species Homo sapiens. Next base: position 83,580,283 of record NC_000003.12, on the reverse strand, counting down.
CTTCACATTCATTACTTTATGCAGGTGCTCTGACAAGACTCATCAGTATGTTTATATGTAATATTAGGTTTACATTTGTATATGCTGAGTTTGAAAGGGTTGAAACGCAGTTGGTGGGTGTGTATGGGTTCAGAAAACAATATCCCAAAGTTTGGCACTTTGACATATTGAGGGCTTTGAACCAAAGGAGAAGCAAAATCTGCCCACCCTTCTCTTGACTTCCTCTCACCTATCTTCTTCCCTTGCAGAGCAGGGAGATGATCTTCCAAAACTTCCCTTATCTGTCTAGAGATAGATTCTTCAAAAGGAGCACTTTTGTCCTCTCCATGGAATCTCATCAACCAGGGAAGATGAACAAAATCATGGGAAAGGTAATTGAAGGTCAGTATGTTTCCCAGATAGACGTTTTCCAAAGCTAGTATCTATTCTTTTGACAGTTCTTCCTTGAAATAACATTTAATACCTGGGAGATTTTGTCTACATAACAAGGTAACATTTTTCAGCCATACATCTCCTCCTGTCGCCCTCCCATAATTTGTTGCCACCTCTTTCCAGAGATTCCAAGTCCCTCTTCCCATGCTATAAGAATGCCGGTCATCTGGCCTTTCTTTGAGTCTTGTATTTTGTGAGGCTCCCTTGCCTACGTTCATAATAAATGTGAATGCTTTTTCTCCTGTTAATATGCCTACATAAGTTTATTCCAGAGACTATAATTATCAAACTTTCAAAGAGTAAAGGAAATATTTAAAACCTCCTTACACATCTATAGACAAATACCATCAGTACCAACTATACAAAACTCCTCTACACATATATCAACAAATACCATCAGTACCAACTATATAAAACTCTTCTACACATATATCAACAAATGCCATCAGTACCAACTAAATATCTGATCATATTGTGTCATTAAAAACAAAGTCCTGACATTATTTTAATAAATTCATCTTGCTATTAGGTTGATAATGTTATTACACTTTTGACTTAATATCTCCTAGTTTTGGGGAGATGATGTATTTACATTGTGGCCTCAAGAATAACTGTAGTGGAGTGGGCTATAGTTTCTCTCACTAAATTTTTTTCTAAGTTACCCGTAAGGGAAAGAGTCCCATCAAAATTCTGTAGGAGTTGTTTCTGAACAGGAAAAATGGAAGACGTGGAAATGAACCTTCTAAATTATTATTATTTATTTTTGAGGAAGAATGAGGTGCCCAGTTAGTTGTGTGCACGTACGTGTGTATGCAGGGGTACTCATCGCATGGCATCTGGCCTCTCTCTCCTATCAGATTGACTCTGGGAGTGTCATAAACTATAGCTAATGAGCAGCAAATGAGAGAAGCAGTTGTATTGAGAAAGGGAGAGGGATGATGATGATGACTGTGATTCTAACCGTCAAAATCTTTATTTATGAAAGGGACAAGGTGCCAATGCCTGTCCCCAGCTGATACACTTACATAGTCTAAGCTTAAGTGCCATTTCTGTGAATAAAGTCAAATTCGACAATTGAATTAGATGGAAATGCTGAATACAAAAATGGAACTGTATTTAGAATCTAAATAGTCTCAAATACTTTAAGAGAATGACAAAATAAGTTATGTATCTGAAGAAGTTTTATCTGGTTAAGAGAGAAAAACACTCCATACTGAATATATTTTAAAAGGATGGTGGAAAACAAAAATTTTATATGCTTTGATTATGTCATTCATCCTTCAATATATTTATTATTTATGTTATAAATTTTATGTATGAAGATAAACTTTATATGATATATGAATATATTTTATCTTTTAATAATAAAATGTTATAGACATATCAAGTATGGAAACTGCATGAGGACTAGTTATTTTCACTGTTCCATTCAATGCTAGAACACTTAGAACCCCAGCATCTGAAATAACGAGTAACACATGTTAGACATTTAATAAATATTTTTGAATGATTAAATAAGGTAACCAAATAATCATTATTAACAGGCTACTTAGCATATCTTTCTCCCTTAAAATCAAAACATTATTCTCCATCCAGAAAATTCATATTTACTGCAAAACATGCTATAACATATATAATCATCCTTTTATTTATTTTATTTTATTTTAATTATTATTATTTTTTTTTTTTTGAGACAGAGTCTCACTCTCGCACCAGGCTTCAGTGCAGTTGCATGATCTCAGCTCACTGCCACCTGCGCCTCCTGGGTTCAAGCGATTCTCCTTCCTCAGCCTCCCGAGTAGTGAGTAGCTGTGACTACAGGCACACGTCACCATGCCCAGCTAATTTTTGTATTTTTTAGTAGAGACAGGGTTTCACCATGTTGGCCAGGATGGTCTCGATCTCTTGACCTCGTGATCCGCCTTCCTCTGCCTCCCAAAGTGCTGGGATTACAGGCGTGAGCCACCATGCCCAGCCTATAATAATACTTTTTTAAAAATTGCTTTAAGCTGTTTATTCTACCTTAACAAATATTTCTTCTTTGGACTATCGAAATTCTTTTTACAAGTCATACAGGTCTATAAGTCAACCTACAATATAGCATTAACTGACTATTTCATACTAAACTTACTGCTCTGGTAGATTCTGTTTTTTGTTTTTGTTTTTGTTTTCTCCAATACTGCATATTTGCTCCAAATCACATAATGCACTATAATGCTTTATTGTTCTGTAATTACACAATACATTTTTCTTGTACTATATCATATCATAAGACCTTTGAATGTTTTGGGTGTGTCTCATAATTGTTTAATATTGTTGCAATCTATAACAAATACTATTGTTGTTTTTTAAAATATATCCAGTCAACTTCCTGTGATTCCACAGTGCAGCTCTGGAGAACCAACAGCCTCCCATGTCAAACATCCTTGCCTCTCTCTCTCCTTCTTGCATCACTTCTGGACTGCCTAATAGCTCTCTGGAGAAACTTGGGAGCTTGATTAACCTGTATACACAGGATTATGCTAGGCCCAGACTCTCCATATTCCACCAGTAAAATTCTGAGATGTGCTGCACAAAGAATTCCCAGTAGGACTGAACCAGTTGCTCATATTAATAATTTGTTTATTAGCCCACTCTTTATCGATTATTCTTTCATCATCATCTCAAATATCATTTTATATTCTCACTTTTAGTTTCTCATATCACTTCCCAAAATAGCCGGCTGCCATCAAGTCTTTCACTGAGGATCTGCTTCCTAGGGATTCCAGAGTAAGACAGGATCCTTTCCAGTTTTCATGTGACTGGCTCCTTCTTTCCCTTCCAATTTTAACTGAAATATTACGGTATGCTGAGCAGCATCCCCCCAAGGATGTCCATGTTCTGATTTCCATAATCTGTGAATATATCACCTTACATGATAAAATGAAGAATTTTGTGATAGGGAGATTATCCTGGGTTAGCCAAATTGACCTCATTTAATCACAATGTTATAAGAAAAATGTTACATAAATTCAATTTAGTAGAGTTTATTTGGGCAAACAAGCTGCTATGGTTTGGATATTCGTTCCCTCTAAATCTCATGTTGAAAGGTGATTCCCAATGTTGCAGGTGAAGCCTTGTGGTAGGTGATTGGATCATGGGGATGCATCCGCATGAATGGCTTAGTGCCAGACCTTTGGTGACAAGTGAGTTCTCCTGAGATCTGGTTCTTTAAAAGTGTGTGGCTTTAAGCCCTGCATGCACCCTGCAAACACATACCTATGTATCAAGGCTACACGTTAGGCACTTGTACCCTGGAACTTAAAGTTAAAAAAATTATAAGAATAAAATAAAGTAAAAAAAAGTCCACAAAGGAAAAAAAAATGTGTGGCTCTCCCCCACCTCCTTGCTCCTTCTCTCATCATGTAAGACTCTTTATCCCCCTTTGTCTTTTGCCATAATTGTGAGCTTCCTGGAGTCCTCACCAGAAGCAGATGCTAGCACCATGCTTTCTGTAAAGCCTACAGAACCATGAGCCAATTTAACCTCTTTTCTTTATGAATTACCCATCCTCAGGTATTTCTTTGTACCCCTGCAAGAACAGACTAATACAGAGGCATTCATAAATTGAACAGCACGTTAAACCAGTGGAGGTTCAGTGCTCTGCAAGCAAGCTTTTATAGAAGAAAAGTGGAATAATCACCTGATTGGCATCAGCTAGGCTTTTGCCTTATTTGGGCATGATGTTTTGAGTTGGCTGCTCGTAATTGCCTGAAATATGACTAATAATTATTGGCTGAAATCAGCTGTTATTATACTCCTGAGTTATGTTGCAGTTTGCTACATAGGGACTTAAGGTATAGAAGCAGACTCAAGTCACATTTAAGTTAACTTAACAACAAGGATCCTTACTAACAGTCAGAGAGAACAGATAAAAGAACAGAAGCAGATGTCACTGGGAAGAAAAGATGTTATGTTCAAAATCGCTGGTTTTGAAGGAGGAGGCAGGGACCACAAAGCAAAGAAAGAAGGAAACCTCTAGAAGTTAGAAAAGGTAAGGAAACAAATTCTCCCCTAGATCCTCCTGTAGAGGAATGCAGACCTGCAGACTCATTTTTAAGGCTTCTTACCACCAGAACTATAAGATTATACATTTATGTTGTGTTAAGCCACTGAATTTGTAGTAATGAGTTACAGCAGCAATGGGAAATTAATGCAGGTATCATTTCCTCAAAAGCATTCCCAAATTGCCTTATTTGTGGGAAATTTCTCTTAACAGACATATGAAAAATATATGGCTTTGTTTTCTCATATAATATGTACTCCACATTAAATAAAAAAGCAAAGATTTCACATGCCTATAATACATTTTATTATCCCTGTAGTATTATTTTTACTTAATAATATGAAAAAAAAAATCTTTTCCTCTCCAACTTATGTGTTGACATTTGGAGTATTTTTCCAATATGGTGTCCTACCACTAGCCCTGACATTTTTTGTGACAATTATTCTCTGTCTATTTCAGCCAAAACCCACATTTTTTATTCCTTTATTTCTCAATCCATGAGGCTTACATATCCTTTACATATCATAGATTTGTAACTTCTCGGGCATACAGTGATTTTCCATTTGGTTATCTAACCAAGTTGGAGACTATCGTCATCAAAATAAATATGTCCTGAACATCTCATTATGATTCTTTTATTACATATCTCTAACTCCTTGAAAATAGAACACTTTGATATGTTCTTGTGTCTCAAAATGTACATAAAACATCCTTAATTTCATGACTTAAAAAACAAAAGACAACAACAGAAAAGCACAACACAAAAACCCTGAAACACCAAGGTAAAGCAAACAATTGCTACCTGCTCATCATCATACTTTCTACTATGCACAAAGCCACCTACTTTTTCTTGAGCAGAGGCAGAAATCTGTGGTTTCTATTAATATTAAGTAGTCACACTTTGATATTTCATGCATCTACAGTGGGAAATTCAAGTGTTTTTAAATGTACTTGTGTATATCTCTCTTCATGATTGATTTTGGATATGGTGCTATCAGCTACAGTTTATACTATTTTTCTTTATCCCAAATTTGTAGCTTATTTTACTATATTTGGTTTATTGTATAATCTCATGATTAACAGAAACCCCAAACATTCTTTTTAAATAAGATCTCTGAAGGACAAAGAAGACTCTGAGGGCTGGATGTGAACCAGAAAAACACATAGTACATTAGATATCTGCTTTCAGGATTAATTGCTAGAAAGCTGCCTCAGGGTTGCTGCTCCTCAAACTATTAATCAATTAAGGCATACATTCAATCATTCATTTCACAAGGATTTATTGAATGCCTATGATACCGAAGACACTGTACTAATAACAAGAATACAGAAACAAAAAAGCACACATAGTTCTTGCAGACATGAAGCAAACTAGTAAGGCATAAATAAGTAAAACTAAGATAAACAAAAACCAAAAAAAAATACCCAAAATTAACAAGAATCAGAAAACAAATGAAACAAAAAAGCCACTTAACTGCATTAAGTGCTCAAAGAAAACAATAGTAGGATTTAAGACAGAATAAAAGGGGAAAGGTGCTCTTTTATCTAGATCAAACAGTGAGAATCTCTTCAAAGAAATTGACACATAAATTGAGAGTGAAAACTAGAGAAAAAAAATGGATCAAGCTCTATGAAGAAAGAAGGAGGGGGCTTCCCAGAGAGAAAGCATACTATATGTAACTTGCTTGAGTTAGGAAAATGCGAGCATATTCACGAAACAAAAGTAAGCTAGGACAAAATGTAGAAAGAATAGGAGAGGGCAATATTAGATAAAGTTTGACAGTTAGGATTTGTACATTTTTTCAGTCATAGACAACTGAGTCATCTCAGTATTACAGTGTGATGTCATGTTTTAAGCAGCAAGTGAAGCAACCTAATTAATATTCTTAGAGATTACTCTAGCCATTGTGCGAATATAGATTTGATGCCAAATATTCCCAAAATATTTTTTGCCAAATATTTTAGAGATTTGAAAGCAGCATTGATTTCATCACTGGCATTCCTTTTCATGATCTTTTCTTTTATTTATTTTATGTTGTTGCTTTTTTACACTTAAATATCACAAATACTCAGAAACTTGCCATCCATTCCACTTATTAAAATATTTCCAATAATTATATCTATTTCTGAGCACTGCCTGTATCCTTCCTCGGCCTCACAACAAAGGTAATTAATAACCTAATTTTTTTCACAATAAATTCAAACTTTTATTAGAGTCTCTCAATTTTGTTTTTAACCAGCCAGCTTCTAATATCCTTTATTCCCCAGCCAACTTTCTTCTGGCACCAGCCCTCCTTCCCTCTCCCTTCTTTTTATTACCATTATTTCAACAGGTTTTGGGAGAACAGGTGGTGTTCGGTTACATGAATAAGTTCTTTAGTGGCGATTTCTGAGATTTTGGTTCACCCATCACCCGAGCAGTGAATGCTGTATCCAATTTGTAGTCTTTTACCCCTCCTCTCCCTCCCACTCTTTCATCTGAGTCCTCATAGTCTATTGTATCATTTTTATGCCTTTGCATCCTCATAGCTTAGCTCTCACTTATGAGTGAGAACATACAATATTTGGTTTTCCATTCCTGAGTTACTTTATTTAGAATATGGTCTCCAATTCCATGCAGGTTGCTGTGAATGCCATCATTTCATTCCTTTTTATTCCTTTTTATGGCTGAGTAGTATTCCATGGTGTGTGTGTGTGTGTGTGTGTGCGTGTGTGTGTGTGTGTATAGATATGCTATATATATATGCTATATATATGTATATATGTTATATATATATATCTCATATATAGCGTTATCTTTATCCACTCATTAAATGATCGGTGTTTGGGCTGTTGGGCTGTTTCCATATTTTTGCAATTGCGAATTGTGGTACTATAAACATGGGTATGCAAGTGTCTTTTTTGTAGAAAGACTTTTTTTCCTCTGAGTAAATATCCATTGGTGGGATTGCTGAGTCAAATGGTAGATCTATTAGTTCTTTAAGGAATCTCTGTACTGTTTTCCATAGTGGTACCTTATACAAAACTCACTTCAAGATGAACCAAAGACTTAAATCTAAGACCTGAAAACATAAAAATTCTAGAAGATAATATTGGAAAAGCCCTTCTAGACATTCACTTAGACAAAGATTTCATGACCAAGAACTGAAAAGCAAATGCAACAAAAACAAGTAATAATAGAAGAGACTTAATTAAACTAAAAAGCTCCAGCTGAGTAAACAGACAACCCACATTTTGGGAGAAAATCTTCACAGTCTATACATCTGACAAAGGACTAATATCCAGAATCTACAAGGAACTCAAACAAATCAGAAAAAAAAAAAACAGTCCTATCAAAAAGTGGGCTAAAGACTTGAATAGATAATTCTCAAAAGAAGATTTACAAATGGCCAACAAACATATGAAAAAATGCTCAACATCATTAATTATCGGGGAAATTCAAATCAACACTGCAATGTGATACCATCTTACTCCTGCAAGAATGGCCTTAATAAATAAATAAATAAAATTATAGATGTTGGCTTGGATGTGGTGAAACTTTTACACCGTTGGTGGGAATGTAAACTACTCGTTGGCATTCTTATTGTCAATAAAATTAGTAATCTAAAATTTAAAGTTGTCACTATTAATATTTTCATAGTATCAATAGTTTTTTTAAAACAATTGTATGAGAGGAAGGCTATTAAAGTCTTTGGCTTGTGTTTAATTAGTTTCCTTCATAAAATGTTCCCTAACTCAAAAGACAAAATCATGCAAAACAGAATTCTCAATTAGACTGTTTCTCCTCTTAGGACATTATATGACAACTCTCAGTAGAGAGAATTCTCGGCAGAAATTACTTACTTTTTCTTTTTATAACAATTTTTCTTTTAAAAAATTTCGTGAGGTAATATTTAGTTATGCTTTAGTGATGGGTAACACATTTCTTTCACAGAAAAAGAGATCAGTTTTTCGAATTTTTGATCATCATGTTGCACCCCATCACATGATATAAGCCTAAATAAATTAAAATCCATAAATAGGCTTCTTAATTGAGAAGCTAACAATATCCACATCTAATACACACACCTGTAAAGAGGTAGCCACAAAAGGATAAATCATAATAGAAACCTAGAGGAATAGATGTATCCAATATAATGATAGAATTTTGCCAAAAATTTGATAAAGATAATGAGCATAATCCAGTTTAGTATCAATAAATAATCAAAGGTCTGCCAGCAAATAATAATCAACCCAAGGGACAATACACTGTATTCAAATAGAAATGTTAAACATGATTCTTTTGCTACACTACACATTAGCAGTAAAAATACTACCAGCAGCAATAACACTAATATGAAGAGTAGCAGTAGCATCAGGAGGAGGAAGAGAATAAAGCGGAAAAGAAAGAGGAAAGTGGGAACAAATAGATATAATAGCAACAGAAGTACTGTTAATTGTAGTCATAATTAAAGTAAAATATGGGCACAAATAGAATTCTAGCCAAAAGTAATAGCTCATTGGTCTTTAGTAGCTTGGATACTACTGGGTAATATCTTTAATTCTTTCTTTTGACTTCACTTTGTTTCATTAATCTGGATAATTCAAAATAGGTCTTTCTAAGAAGGATTGCCCTGGTCACTTGTAAATTCAGTCAGAATTACTCTCAGTGACAGCCTCAGTGGTTTTATTCAGGTTGGAGGCAATGAAGTTTAAATGAGTGATTAATTCATTAAAAATTGTATCATGGAATACAGTAACAGGCCGAGTACATTTCTCACCTATAAAACTAATTAATCTGAACTAGATTTGTCTTGTAAACACTTGAGTCATAAAATAGAATTGACTTATAGAATTAAAGCAGATGGCATTCTTGTTTGCCTAATGATCTTTTTAGTGGAGTGACTTATTAATAGAGGACTATGAAACACAACTGCCACAGAACTTTGCTGTGTTTAGACAAAGTAATATGGAGATTGGTGTAATTTTCTTGGTTCAGCTTAATAGACTCTTTCATGCTAAAAATATTAAGTAACCTCAGACATATATATTTTTTCCACTTTGCATTAACTGGGTAAGTGTTATATGAAAATATAGGGTTGATTATCTATGTAAGTGGATTATATTCCTGTTTTGCAGTGTTTGTCCAAGATACTATGCACTGTTGCTCAAAGTATTAAATTCCAGGTATGAAAGCTAAACAAATATCTATATAGCTTTCATTGTAGTTTTTTTTAAAAAAATGTTCATCATAATCTAATTCTATGTTTAGATCTCTTTGAGTTGCCTCGTATTAATTTGAGAATGTTAGTCTATCAATTTTATATTGATTTTCATTATCAAAATGAAAACATACTTTTATGGCAGTTTCCTGTTCTTGCTTTTGTTCATAAAAGTCACAATACTTTAATTAAATCTCTGTGTTAATGGGTTTAGGACCAGTTGCCACCTTAATAAATCAGAACTACCAAATCTGTTGTTTACTCAAACTGCAATCAATGCTAATTTCCTTTTGGTTCAGCAACTTCATTTACTTTTGTATTGGAAGTTCAATTATTTGCAATTACAGTTTCAATGTATTAAGATAAATGTGATATATCATCTAAATTGTAACTTACAGAAGCTCAATTTTTATTATTTTGTGCACTGGAACCTATTTAGAAAATAATCTTAGAAAGTAAGCATAAATGTTATTAGTTCAAATATTTGTTTATTTTGCCTAGAAATTAATTTTGTGAATATATACACACACATTCACTGATGACACATACATTTTAAATGATAAAATAGCAAAATTACTTAGCAACATTTGAAGTACTTCATATCTATTGAAGCACTCTTCCATAGCATGCATATTGTTAACATGGATGTTAGTCTATATTTCCTTTCCAATGAATTATTTCTTAGTGTTTTAGACTTTAAACAACAACAAAAAAAAGTCATAGAACAGTAACCAATTTTATCATTTTTAACAATTGTGCAGGATTGATTGACATATCTATTATATATAAAGAATAAATTTGGTCTTTTTTTTCTTAAAAATAATCAGCATTTTATTTGCCACATTTATTATTACTAAATGCTTATACTAAGTAAGACATTTAAAACTTCAGCTTTTTTAAGTAATAAAAATAATACATAGTAAGGCTATGAAAAATTCAGAGCCTTATTATAGGAAATATTTTAAAGGTTGCCTATGCATATATATAAAGTGTATTATTTGTGAGTCGCAACTGTCCTTGAATGTTTTCAATAGATTTATTCAAAAAATGAGGTATATTTTCTTGAAAAAGGGCTGAAGAAGATATGCTGGCCATACCTTCAAATCAATAAAATCTTTTTTTTAAATGTGTTCTTAATATTCTGATGAAATTTTACCAGTTTCTAAAATAATTTGATGAAGAGATTCCGTTCACAGAGATAATAATTTTTCAAATTATTTTTCCCTACAACTTCTCTATATTTCTTACATTTCCAAGAAAAAAAAATTCAACCTCTTGAGATTCTGATTCAAAGAAAATATAAATTTGTGGTTTCTGTTAAGAAACCAGATCTTTGATTCAAGAAGTGCAGGCAATTCTGAAAGGAATATTTGAGAAGATTTTTTTAAATGCTGTGATACTCTGTATCACCCTCTAATATTTTCACATATATTTAATAACTTCAAGATTGTTATACTTCTAACATTTATCAATTTAATCAAGCTTTCATATTCTATGATTCACAACTCTAACCCTACCAGATTTCTGTTTCCAGTACAATAAACGGTTAAAATAATAAATATATGAACTCAAGGACATGTAAATATGAACTCTCAATTTCTATTCTAATTCCTAATAGACCTACTATATCTGACATTGAATTGAAGGTTAGATAACTCAGAAAGAAAATTACTAATATGATTTTCTTAAGAGACAAATAACATTTGGGCATTTTAAATGCTGGTCAGCTAAAGGTTCACTGGTTAATAATAATTAATGCATGTATCTTAGAACTCTACCTTGGATTCTGTTTAAATGCAAATTAATGTAAAAATTTTTGTCAGACTCTAGCTAATGTTAAAAAAATTTACTTAGGTGTTTATTTACCTTCAAGCCAGTTTTGGACACAACCTTATTTTAAAGTTTGTAAAAAGACATGAAAAACCTGAATATGACATGGAGTTTGCAGCTGTTTATTTTCAGTTCGTTTTAAAATTTAATATTTCTAAATAAAGTATTTATTTTATTAATCTTAATGTTTTCTGTATACAAAAACGTTCTGTTTGTGCCTTTTAAGGGACATTTTAAAATCTCTGGGAATTTAAGAGATTTAAATTTTACTCAAGTAAAAGATAAGCTTGTTTTATTTTGAAGAAAATGCCCATTGATAATTATCTGGTAGATTATGATTACACTTGAAAATATTCAGCAAGATAGCTGGATGTAATGTAAAGCATAAATGAAGAATGCCCATGGTTAATTAAATTGCATTTCTCGACAAAATGGAATGTATGCCAATCAGATATGAAGCTCCTACTCCATCTCCCTGCTAAGCATTTAAGACTTAGAAAAAAATAAAGGAAAAAGTTGGATTTAGCATTATTATGGATGTGAACCACATCACTAGGAGATAATACCATATTATTTTTCTGGAATGACAATGAGGACATTCACCTTAAGAGGCTCCCTTTGATGCAGTATTTAAAATTGCAAGTGAGGGATGTGTTAGGAATAAAATGAAACCACAGGTGGTGTTTTGGTTCTCAAGTCCCTGATGCTTCAAATAGACGGAGTGAATTAACAGATGAAATACAGAATCTGTATGACGTCTGGAATGAACTGTTCAAATATTTAATTTGCCTGTTTAGATCTTATTATTAATAACAAAACACTATATCACAGTAACGAGCAGGGTTCAAATAATTACCAGCTAGTGAATCATCATTTGCCTGCTATGATTTTAATTTGAGTTCTGTTTCTTAGGAGATGTAAACTGTTTTGTTTTGTTTTGAGAATTTCCCAGTGAACGTACTTGTTTAAAATACTTTTTCTCAAACTTTCTTCAGACTGTTTTAGTTACTTTTTTTTACATCCATCAAGCCCTTTTCTGTACAGTAAAACTTACCTACAAAAGTGATTATATTTGTTTCTGTTTTCCTCACCATATAAGCTAATGTAGCTCAGCAGCTAATAAAAGCTGTAGGTTTGCATGGCTTTTCAAAAAGAACCTCACAGTCAATAACCTATTTAGTGTAGTGGCTGGCAAGGATTGTTAATTTGACTTTTACAATACGACTGCTAAAGAGCTAAAGTCAAATTACTACACTACCGATGCTTAGAAATTATTAAAGTATGTTTGTATAATTGTAGGCTGATTATCTTACTGAGTAATTAGGAACACAGGTTTGGCTTGCTTTTTTTTTTTTCCTGTGAGAGAGCAGTGATATAGAATTCTAGGGACAAATAAAACAAAGAAAATCTTTAGTGAGCTAGACATTTTAAAAAAATCTTTTATAAAGAAATAAAAGTAATATAAACCTAAAAAATATAAACATAAAACCTATAATAAAGAAGTTCTGGATAACTGTTTAAAAGATTGCAAAAGTCATCATTAAATAGCATACACCTGAGGGTTGTTTTTCATGAAAAAGTAACATATTACAACTTTTTGTGATAAAAATCGTTACTAAAATCAGAAACCATTATGATTTCCTAAGACTTTGATTTTATAAACTCACAAAAATGTGTCTTCTGAGACAAGGTTACAAAGTTCAAGGAGTATTTTTTACTAGTGGTTCCGGAAATTAATGGCTGGAAACTTTTGAAAGCACTGTGTCTTTATTAAAACATGTAAGTAATTTATAACAGCACTTGAATCTCTTTTTGCTTGTGGCGCTTTGGTTCTTTGGCAAATATTTTAAACATAACATTTTAAATAATTTTATTTGTTTATTTATTTATTTATTTTAGAGACAAGATCTCAGTCTGTTAACCATGCTGGAGTGCAGTGGCACAATCCTAGCTCACTGCAGCCTCAAACTCTTGCACTTAAGGCAGCCTTCTGCCTTAGCCTCCCAAGTAGGTGGGACTACAAGCTCCAGCCACCACACCTGGCTATTTTTTTTTTTTTTTAATTTTTGAGTATGGTCTCACCATGTTGCCCAGGCTAGTCTCAAACTTCTGGCTTCAGAAGTTTGAGTGATCCCCCTACCTCAGAATCACAATGTTTTTAATAATTTAAAAATCATGTTTGTACTTTTGAATAATTTAACTAAGTGGCTTATTTAAATAAGAGCAGGTATTATAAAATATATCATTGCTAATTTTGTTGAATAGCTGTGTTTTTATTTCTTCTGTAAAGAAGAACTATAGCAGAGATCCACTCCAGAAGAGTAGTATCAACTACAGAAATGAGCTTTTGGACCAACAGGAGAATACTTGTTCTCTCTAAAAGGGGTTATCCATAACCCAGGTATAACACATTGCTGTTCTATGGAATGTGGGGCCAGTGGTGTCAACTATTCTATTTTTTCAAGTGAGAATGGAAACTCATGTTCAATGTCAAGTTTCCTAAGAGTTAAATATAAGCAACAAATTCAAATGTTTTTGAACATTCTATGCAAACCAAGAATTTATGGGTGAAGTCTCTATTTGGCATGCTTGCCTCCAGTTTCTTATCTCAAGGTATTAGGACAGGAGTCAAAGAAAACTGTTTTGAGTGTGTCACTCTCTGAACTGAGATTAATTTTTATGCATACAATTTATCTGATGTTTTAAAATTCTTTGTTTTGGTCAAAAGAATGTCATTTCATTTTCTCAGAGTTAAAAACTATTTTTTTTTCTTAAAGGTTTTATAGCCCTTGAATGGGATACTGCCAAACTCTATATGATATTTTCATAAGCTGTAGATAAGGTGATCTGAAAGTTTAAAACAGTTCATACCTGTTGTTTGAATGCTAAAATGTATTTTTAGAGGAGTAGCATTTGAGCATGAAAATTCTCTTCTATTTTATCTAAACATAATATTTGGAGCAAAATCTATAGTTCTGTTATTCAGTTAGTTGTAAGACTATTAGAGAATGAATATTTATGAATTGTTATTTTGAGGTGTCCTAGTTTGAGCACTGATTATTCTATTAAGTCCTTATACTCATTCAAATTTCTCACATGCTGCTTCTATTTACTAAATGTTATCCTGGCCTCACAAGTTCTAATGAATTTTTAATTGTGAAGTCATGATATGGCTTTGTGCTAACACTCAAAACCCATCCATCATCAAATATATTTTACAAACCGATTCCCTTCAGCTCCCGATCACCTGAAGCTTACCTACTCCTTTGACAAGTTACCATTTGCCTTGTTTGAAATAAAATAAAATATACATTATTTTGCTTTTGGATTCCTTCCTTATTATGGTTCTTACATGCAATTTCTCATTTACATACAGTAACAGCTTAATTGGATCGTTATTTTAGTTTCTCCTGGGAAACCCTCTCTGCATATAAAACTCTACATTTTAGGCTCACCCATGTTGATCCTGTTTATTTGCAAACATATATCTGTTTATTATTCATTGAAAAACTACTTGTTCATATTTTTGCATATTCTCATCTCTTAAGCTCAAAGAATTTTTGCAAATTATTTAAATATATTTAAGATTCTGTCACTTTCCCAATTAAGAAAGTGCTGTTAGCCTACCTGAAAGATACCATAAGCTTAGTTATGAATATAATTTTCCCACTTCTACATTTGAATAGTCTGTTTTATAAATGAGTATAGCCAGTAGTGCAAACTACCAGTGAATATATGTGCTGTATAACTAAGGTCAAACTTTTCTTTTTATTAGTACAGTGTATTAGATCACATGACTTTCACATTTTAATTTAGAACATTATTATAGAAAAAGAAAAAAGAGTGATTTTGGAAAAGGTAAAACGTGAGAAAAATATTAAAATGAGAATGGTTGCAGGGCATTGAAAGAGGCACAGTAGAGATTCCAAAATCCAATAAATTGCTCTGCATTCTGGAGTTAGATGACTTGGACTTTTAATGTAAATTTCAATACCAATGAATACCAAGTACTTAGATATAATTTCAATTAAAATTAATAACTTTTAATGTAATCTTGAATCCTAATAATGTATCACTGAGTTTCAAATATATAACTAGAATGTAAAATAAAATTTTCCTATGTTTATATGGACATTCAGTTAGATAGGACCCTTATTCAAGGACTGAACTAGAGACAGGAAATTCTCTATAGAGGAATAACTCTGAAAATAGGTACACACAGCATTAGAAAAGAAAGAAGCAGTTTCAATCTTTTATTTTATCTTTACTTTCAATTCTTGCTTCAAAACGTATTTGGTGGACACCTGAATTGCTGTTTTTCAATAAAAGCTTCCTTATTAGTTGACAACATGGTCCATCCTGGATAATCATTTATAATCCCCACACCAAAGCTAGATTTTTGACTGGGTTGTTTCTTAGTCTCTTTAACTTCTCACCCATATGCCAAAATCCTAGAAATTCTAACAATCTAATATTCATTTCTCTAATATAAGGCTTTGCCTACTGTTAAAAAGCAAATTAAGCCACATTGGTCACTATCTTTAGTGTCAGTTCCTACAGCTTGAGTTATGATTCCCCATATTAGAATTAGAATGTGTCCAATTCACTATCATTTCACAGAATAATATTGAAAGCATTCAGTAGAAATAATATATTCTAGTATATCAGAAAAATACATGCTTGGGGGAAAATCATGCATTTGAATTTTGACTAATATGTCTCTTATTTATGTGTAATGTATTTACCTCTGTCTGTAAAACTAGAACAGCTACACCACCTTGAAGCGGCATTGTGGAATTGAAATAATACAAATACTTATCATAGGATATGTCAAAATTCAGTGATGTCTCCGAATATTGACTCCATGTGACATGATGAAAAAGGTTAGGCCACATGGAGTTGAATGGCAGATGTGTAGAGGTAGATGGAGGTATGCAAACGGAGAAGGAAAGAGCCAAATCTGACAATTGAAACAGCATATAACATCAGATATCAGATCATTTCTCTGTCCTTTCCCACCTTTAATATTTTATTGAACTACAAATGCAAATCTATCATTGTCTGATATCCTCCAGGAATATATTTTCTTTACTTGTTAAAGTAATTGTCTTAAATTTTGAATCTTTCATAAATATTTGTAAGATGAAAGAATAAAGAGAGAAGATATATTACTAATTTCCCTAGTATCTGTTTTCAAAGAGAATAAAGGCAGAATGCCACATGAACAAATTAATTAAGATATGTATTCGCGTACTTTTTCATGCCCTTGCTCATGAGTGTCTTCAAAATTCCTTTGTATTAATAAATTTGGTAACTGATCTCTCAGACAGAGGAGAAAAATCTATTGACTTCTTGGCTACAAATACAGTATACAAGGTAAGAAACTAAGAATTACAATTGATTCTTTTTTGTTAAGCTAGGTTCATTACTGATTCCCTTAAAGCTCCTAAACTGTAGTAACTCAGTAGGTCAAAGAGATATTTAAAAAGATAATGGATAATGTTGCAATACACATATTATATAATTGTATGTATAATAAACACTTAATAAAATAATATTAACTGAGTATTTACAACATATCAGTTATGTTTTAAGTGTTTACATGGATAAGCTGACTTGATCTCCTGGTAATTCTATGAAAAAACTTTTATAATTCTACCTTTTTTTCAGAGTAAGAAATTATGGCATAGGCAGATAAAATAAATGGCCTGAGATCACAAAGAGAGGAAAGAGTGGAACACAGGATTCAAATCCAGGCAGACCAACTTTAGAAATTGTGTTCTCAACAGTGGCACTATACCTTTTATTCTCAATATGTCATTGGGGAGTTAAAAAAATTATTATTAGAGCCAGGCATAGTAGATCATGCTTGTAATCCCAGCACTTTGAGAGGCCAAGGTGAGAAGATTACTGGAGCCCAGGAGTTCAAGACCAGCTTGAGGAACATAGCAAGACCCTATATCTACTAAAAGTAATAATAATTTAAAAAAATAGCCAGGCATGGTGACACGCACCTATAGCCCCAGCTACTTGGGAGGCTGAAGCGGAAGGACCACTCGAGTCTAGGACTTCGAGAGTTCGAGGTTGCAGTGAGCTGTGATCATATCACTGCCTGTTAAAAAAAAAATATTGGAAATACTTACTTTATTTCAATGCACTTTTTCTCCAAATAAAAGGTTTTAATATTATGATATATATATATCAGTTTTAGGCACAAGCTTGTACATGCCCACTTGAGTTTACTGCATATCTTGCCTAAGATAAAAGTCAGCTTCAAAAAAGATGTTCTACTTTTTATATTTGTTCCATGTTTACTTAATCATATGGCAAGTTTTTGTAGTAAAACTTAAAGTTATTGTATTTATCTTTTCAGCTTAAAATATTCATTAAATGTATACATTTAAACATAAATAGCAAAAAAATAAATACTCCAAATACTTTGTGTGGTTAGTATCTGAGGATCAAAATAAGAGCATATAGATTCTTTTGAATTGAATAAGTGAATAGAGTCTTTGAATTTTCCATCGAAGTAGGTTGTTTATGGAATTAACATGTTCTCTACTCATAGATCAGTTATTGACAAGATAGTTCTCCATTGTTTTTATCTTCCATTAAACCAATTTTATGTGGCTTCTGCCCATCATTCTAGCAAAAGTAATTTCATATCTCAAATATAATAGAGAATTCTTAGGCATTAATATATTTAACTACTGGGAACTCTTAAATATGTTTCATTAAAGTTTTCTCATTTGGAGTCCCTCCATTAATTTCCCTTGTGTCTTCAGCATCTGCTGCCATCTCATCCTCTTCTATCTACCTTGATATGTTTCATTTAATCAAAGCCAAACCCTTGGCTATTTTTTCTTCTCATTGTCTCTCTCTCTAGGAAGACTTTCATCTATGCATATGAAGCAATTATTACCTCTCTGCCAAAAACACATCCATTGAGTTTTAGAAAAGTGTTATTGAATGTTCTATATAATATTTCTATTTGGGTATGTTTAAAATATTGAATAATCATGGCAATCTTCTTTTTATTAGTTGGGCTTTGCCGAAAACAGACCCTAAGGCCGGGGTTTGAGAGCAGGTAGTTGATTTGGAGGTGACTTCAGGAAGTGAAGAGAAGAACTGGAGAGAGTGAGATGAGGAAGAAAAGAGGTGTGAATGAGTTGGTCCTGCAGTGAACCCCTGGGCTCAGTTTCTGGTGATCTTATAAGGAACCCTACAGAATGCATCAGAATAGTACCAGTTCAGGATGAGGTATTGAAAATGGAACAGAATGAAATTTCTGAAATCAAATTATAATTTTGTCCTTTCAAAAAAAAATAAAGGGTTAAAAAATTAAGGACCTTTAATGTTTATTATTTTAATCAGGTTGGCTGATGAAGAGTGTACAGTTTTTGTTGGGAGGGAGGTCATTTCTTGTTACGGCCCCGTGGAGTCTAAGGCTCCTTTTCATTTTGAAAATGTACCTTATGGCAATTTACCTGTCTAGACATTGCGTGATAATGCCCTTGTCAGAAATGACTGTGATAAGTGGCCATCACTTTTGCTTTTGTAGAATAATAATATTCATAGTAGATTGATCAGTTATTAACAAAACATTGAACATTTTAAGTATGATTACTTCTATCACATAATAGGTTGCTCAAGCTTTTATTATGAGAGACTATTTTGCCATGTCTCTCTTGTATATCCATTAATAAATTACAAATTAAGCATTATAGTTATTTAGAAATCAAAACTGTTCCTTAAAGCTACTTTTTGTTCTTCATTTCCCTAGAATGCTGCTCCAAGAAACAAACAAGCAAACAAAGACTTCTCCATGGTAATTCTTATTGATGCTAATCCCTCAAAGCACAATTTCAATGCCAAAATAAGCAGAACTTTTAAAAAGGCAAACATTTTATTATTAGAGCTGAAACATAAAAAATCTGATATGAGTAGATTAGAACTTTAGTAAAATGAGTTAGGACCAATGTAAGGGTTTTAACTTCTGTTTGTCATTTTAAACATGGAACTAATTTAAAAGAAAAGAGAGGATAAATTACTTTTAAATTATTGGGGAGAAATTCAGTATATTTATTCAACATAAAAGCACTATAGAAAGTGGTTTTTAAGCTACATGTTCATTGCTTTCTCTTAACTAATATCATATTTTATTGGATGATATACTCCTGATATAATTAAAACAAAGAGATAAAAAACAGTCTATGCACATTTGTAGTTTCTTACCTGTTCTCTGCTATTACATGAATAATAATAACTCAGGATACAGAGAAGTCTTAGATTCTTAATAAAGAAGTACAGCAAGTATGTATTTAAGTAAAACATATAGCATCAGCCTAGACATTTTTCATTATAAGATGAATTGCTTAATGCAATATTTACATGTCTGGTATTTAAAACTTCCTATGTGTAGCCATTTTTCTATGATGTTAATGTTATTAGCAAAACTTAGTAAAATAAGACACAAATCATGAGTGTGTGTATATAAGGAGAATGAATACCTAGTACTATATAAGTGAGATGCATGTGATCATTATTGGCCACACATTTGAATTCTTAGTTTTTGTTTGCTAATGACTTTTCCCATGAAAAGTGACTAACGAAACATGATCATTATAGTTATAGAATCAGAATTGCATAGTGTTATGGTTTGAATGTGTGTGTTCCTTCCAGAGTTCATATTGAAATTTAATTCTCAGTGCAACGGTATTGGGAAGTAAGAACGTTGGGAAGTGATCGAGTCATGAAGCTAAAGTTCTCGTGAATGAGATTAGGTGTGCTTAGGTTAATAAAAGGGATTGATGAAGAGTTTGCCCCTTTTTGCCCTTCTCCCTTTTTCTGTGTGAGGACACAGTGTTCCTCCCCTCTGGAGGACACCTGTCACCTAAGGCACCATCCTGGAAGCCAAGACTGAATCTTCATCAGACAATAAACCTGCTGGCACCTTGATCTTAGACTTCCCAGCCTTCAGAACGTGAGAAATAAATTTCTATTCTTTACAAATTACCCAATCTCTGGTATGTATTTATAGCAACACAAAAACAGACTAATGTAGAAAGACTGGGAGCTTGATAAAAAAAAAAAAAAAAAAAAAAAAAAAACCAGGAGCCAGACCCGCCTCTAATCTAGGCATATCTGCACATATGTTCCTAATAGACAGCTGTGACAACCATGAAAGTATTTTGCTCATACCTGCATTCAAGGAAGAGTATGCTGTTCAGCTGCAAAACAAAAAAAAAAGTATACTTAGCCAAGAGCTTCCAGATGCAATGTCTTCAGGATCTGCTTCAGCTTTAGAACTATGACTATAAACTTACCTGAAAGCCCTCAGGACTACCACCTGTCTATCTCTTCCCATTGTAGGATTTATTTAATGGACAATCATTGCTGTAAAACTGTTTAGTTGACTAAGACGTTTTCAGGTATTCTTCATCATCTGTGGTACTACATGCCAACTCATTCCCACCTTTCTTTCACTGGTTTCATTTCTGCATTCTGTTCTGAAGCCTTTTTCTAACAAATTATGCCTCCTTCCTCTTTTTACCTAGGCAAGTGTTACTCTCTAATAAACTAGCACTGTGAGGCCCGTGCCCTGTTTTTCAAAGAACCCAACGGATAGAAAATTGTCTCTCCATTCTTGAGACATTCAACAGTTTGTGTAAGTGACATGCCCTCACAATATCATACCCAAACTCTCTAAGCATTTGTAGCAAAAATCTCGTTAAACCATTTCAGGCTTCAAGATTGACATTGAAGTGTTTGGAAGTCATCACTTTAACTCAAGAAAAACCTGGACGAACTGAAAATTAATGATACTTTTTTGGACTCACAAGAGAACTTACTTTGCAGAGCAAACCACTTCTCTGAAATCTGGAGATAAAGGAGAATACATAGAATCATGGCTCAGATGAGCCTACCTGAAGCAGAAGTGATAAACAGGAGTGATAAATGGGTAAAGACACATAAATGGTCACTTAGACGCATTGCTGGAAGCTGAGTGTGGAAAAACATGAGAGTAAGAAACTGGGGCCGGGCGCAGTGGCTCACGCCTGTAATCCCAGCACTTTGGGAGGCTGAGGCGGGCGGATCACGAGGTCAGGAGATCGAGACCATACTGGCTAACACGGTGAAACCCCGTCTCTGCTAAAAATACAAAAAATTAGCCGGGCGCGGTGGCGGGCGCCTGTAGTCCCAGCTACTCGGGAGGCTGAGGCAGGAGAATGGCGTGAACCCGGGAGGCGGAGCTTGCAGTGAGCCGAGATGGCGCCACTGCACTCCAGCCTGGGCAACAGAGTGAGACTCCGTCTCAGAAAAAAAAAAAAAAAAAGAAAGAAACTGCTAGGGACTGCAGTCTTAGGGTATTCAATACTTTCATAGATTTTGCTTCCTGAAGCTCTATCAAGTTCTCACAGTGACAATCTGGAAAAAATTCCCTTGTAGCTCTAGCAAGGTGAGAAGAGTAATTATTGTGAAATACATGTATAGCCTTAACATAGCAAAGACCTACTATCCCAGGGAAAGTCTTTACTATGGTCTTTCCTCAGAGCCATAGGATAAAGGCACTCCTCTCACACTATTTCCCACCCCACCCCCAATCTTTCTTTCTCGCCAAAGGAAGAGGAAGCTGTTTCAGATAAAACATGTTTGCAAGTCACAGGTTAAAGACAAAAGGCCACTAAAAATTAGATATAATTGGAAGATTTTAAAACATCTTTCTGCCACACCTTACCACTACCACAACAGGGTTCCACCATAATAATAGTGAATTAGTAGAAGAAGAGAAGAAGATGCAAGTCATAGACTCTCTCTAATGAAGAGTAGTTACAGAATTGCAATGTGAAGAGGAAACACAGATATAAGGACTCTAGAAGAATTTGAAGCCTTTGATATTTATAACCATAACAAACATTAAACCCGTGTTTAACTCACAGCTAGATTAACATAAATACTCATGATAAAGAACTATTTAATGATTTTTTTTCCTATGTAACATGTCTGACTTTCAAAGAAAAATTACAAGGCACATTAAAAGGCAAGAAAAAAAAAACACAATCTGAAGAAACAAACCAAACATCATAACAAGACCCAAATATGACGTGTGACATAAATATAGATTTACTAGAAAAGCAATTGAAAATCACTATGATTACTATGTTAAGAGCACTGAAGGAATATATAGACAACATGAAGAATGGTTGAAAATGTAAGCAGAGAGAATAAAACTTCTAAGAAAAGATCAAAATAAAATGCTAGAAATCCAAAATGCTATAATAGAAATAAAGAATGGTATTAATGGGCTGATCAGTAGACTCAACAAAACCAAGGAAAGAATCAGTGAGATTTAAAATGGGTCAATAGAAACTTCCCAAACGGCAAGGAGAAAAAAAAAGTAAAATGATAAAACAGGACGGAACACTCAAGAATAATCAGATAATTTCAGATGACACAACATATAGATAATTAAACAATTAGAAGCATAACAAAAATACAGTAGAAAAAAATATTGGCAGCAGAATGGCAATAAACCTTCCGAACTGCTAAAAGACACCAAATTTCAGATTCAAGAAGCCCAAAGAACACCAAATTGGATAAATGTCAGAAAATCTACATCTAAACACATCATATTCAAACTACAGAAAACCAAAGATCCTGGCCCAAGGTGGTCAATTAGAAGCAGCTGCAGTCTGCGGCTCTCACTGAGAAGAATGAAAATGGCAAGTAAATGCCGCACCTTCAACTGGGGTATCCAGGTTCTCACATTGGGAATGTCTAGGTGATTGGTGTGACCCATGGAGAATGAGGAAAAGAAGGGTGAAGCAATGGCCCACTTGGGAGTGGCAAAGAGCAAGGGGAGCTCCCACCCCCAGCCAAGGGTGGCAGTGAGTGATTGTGCCACCCCACCTGGGAAATCACTTTTTTATCTCACGGATCTTTGCAACTCATGGATCAGCAGATCTCCTCCTGAGCCCACACCACCAGGGCCTTGGGTCCCAAGCACACAGCTGTGCAGACTCAGTGGCCATTCGGGTCAGCAGTCACCTGGTCAGGCACTGAGACACAGGAGCTTTTGCATACTCTGGCTCAGCGAATTCTGGTGAGGCAGGAGTTTCATCCATTCCTGTAGGAAGGCGGCTGAAACTAGGGAGACAAGCTATGCCATTCAGCTGCCCACTCCCACAGAACCTCACAAGCTAAGACCCACTGACTTGGAATCTCTGCCAGCCATCAGCAGCTGACTGGAGATTACCTGAGACAACTGAGTTCCCCCGGGAGAGGGGTGGCCACCATCACTGTGGCCCCAGTAAGCCGTTTTCCCTTGCTAGTGCTGAGAGTGGGCAGTTTGGACTGGGAGCAATTCCCCACAGTGCAGCACAGTGGCTGTGGCAGATCATGGCCAGACTGCTTCTTTAAGTGAGACCCTGATTTATTCCTCCTCCAGGAAGTGTCCCTACAAGAATTTCAGCAATTCCAGCCAGGATTTTACGGACAGAACTCTGATCTCCCTGGAATGGAGCCCCTAGCAGGAGGGGTGAACATGGTCTCTGCAGTTCAATTGACTTAGTCTTTCCTGCTTGCTGGCTCTGGAGAGTCCAGGCAGTCTGGAAGTCTGGACAAGGGGCTTACCCACAGCACAGCACACCTGCTATCCCAAGGGGCAACCAAACTGCTTCTTTTTTTTTTTTTTTTTTTTTTTTTTTTTTGAGACGGAGTCTCGCTCTGTCGCCCAGGCTGGAGTGCATGGAGTGCAGTGGCGCGATCTCGGCTTACTGCAACTTCCGCCTCCTGGGTTTATGCCATTCTCCTGCCTCAGCCTCCTGAGTAGCTGGGACCACAAGCGCCTGCCACCACACCTGGCTAATTTTTTTTTTTTTTGTATTTTTAGTAGAGACGGGGTTTCACCATGTTAGCCAGGATGGTCTTGATCTCCTGACCTCTTGATCCGCCTGCCTCAGCCTCCCAAAGTGTTGGGATTACAGGCGTGAGCCACTGCTCCCAGCCCAGACTGCTTCTTTAAGCAAGTCCCTGATCCCATTCCTCTTGACTGGATGAGACCTCCCAACAGGGGTCTGCAGATACCTCATACAGGAGTCTTCAGGCTGGCATCAGGTCAGTGCTCCTCTGGAATGGAGCTCCCAGAAAAGGAGCAGACTACCATCTTTGCTATTTTGCAGACTCCACTGGTGATACCTCCAGGCGTGGAAGGGACCCAGGTGAATAGGGTCTGGAATGGATGCCCAGCAAACCTCAGCAGCCCTATGGAAGAGGGGCCTGACTGATAAAAATAAAAGAAAAAGCAGAAAGCAACTCCAGCAACAACAGCAAAGGTCACACACAAGCCCCACTCAAAAGTCAGTAGTCTCAAAGATCAAAAGTAGATAAGCCCATACAGATGAGATGTAATCAATGCATAAAATGCCAAAAATTCATAAAGCCAGAGTGCCTTTTCCCCTCCAAATAATCACAGGATGTCTCCAGCAAGGGCACAGAACTGGGCTGGGTCTGAGATGGATGAGTTGACAGAAGTAGGCTTCAGAAGATGGATAATAACAAATTTAACTGAGCTAAAGGAGCATGTTCTAACCCAGTGCAAAGATGCTAAGAACCATGATAAAACATTACAGGAGCTTATAACCAGAGTAACCAGTTTACAGAGGAACATGAATGACCTGACGGAGATGAAAAACAAAACATGAGAACTTCACAATACAACCACAATACCAATAGCTAAAGAGACCAAGCAAAGGAAAGAATTTCAGAGCTTGAAGACTATTCTTGCTGAAATAAGACAGACACACACGAATAAAGAAAAAAGAAGAAAAAGGAACAAACAAAACCCTCAAGAAATATGGGATTATGTAATGAGACCAAACCTATGACTTATTGGAGTACCTGAAAGAGACGGGGAAAACAAACCAGGTTGGAAAACATACTTCAGCATATCATCCAGGAGAACATCCCCAACCTAGCAAGACAGGCCAACATTCAAATTCAGGAAATCCAGAGAACCCCAGTAAGATACTCCACAAGAAGATCAGCCCCGAGGCACATAAAAGTCAGATTCTCCAAAGTCAAAATGAAAGAAAAAAATGTTAAGGGAAGCCAGTGAGAAAGGCAAGGTCATCTACAAAGAGAAGCCTCTCAGAATAAGAGCAGATTTCTCAGCAGAAACCCTATAAGCCAGAAGAGCCTGGAGGTCAATATTCAACATTTTTAAAGAAAGTGATTTTCAACCCAGAATTTCATATTCAGCTAAACTAAGCCTCATGAGGGGAGGAGACATAAGAGCCTTTTCAGACAAGCAAATGCTGAGGGAATTAATCACCACCAGGCCTGCTTTGCAAGAGCTCCTGAAAGAAGTACTAAATACGGAAAGGAAGAACCATTACCAACCACTACAAGAGCACACTGAAGTACACAGACCAGTGACACTATGCACCAACCTCATAAACAAATCTGCAAAATAACCAGCTAGCATCATGATGAGAGGATCAAATTAACACATAACAATATTAACCTTAAATGTAAATGGGGTAAATACCCCAATTAAAAGACACAGAATGGCAAGCTGGATAAAGAGTCAAGACCCTTGGTGTGCTGTGTTTAAGAGACCCATCTCACAAGCAAAGACACAAAAAGGCTCAAAATAAAGGGATGGAGGAAAATTTACCAAGCAAATGGAAAACAGAAAGAGCAGATATTGCAATCCTAGTTTCAGACAATGCAGACTTTAAAACAACCAAGATCACAAAGACAAAGAAGGGCATCACCCAATGGCAAAGCGTTCAATTCAACAAGAAGAGCTAACTATCCTAAACATATATGCACACAATACAGGAGCACCCAGATTCACAAAACAAGTTCTTAGAACTTACAAAGAGACTTAGACTCACACACAAATAATGGGTGTGATGGTTCTCCCATAGCTAGGATTCATGGGTTCAGAAATCAAGGAGTTGAAGTGCAAGTGGCATCCCTCACCATCACCCCTAGTAACCCACTAGCAAAATTTTTCTTCCTATTCCCACAACATTAAGTTTCGCTGGCCTAGAGGTTTTAGATCCAGGGGAGAAATGTTGCTACCAGGAGACACAATGATTCCATTAAACTGGAAGTTAAGATTGCTACCTGGCCACTTTGGGCTCTTCCTTCCTCTGAATCAACAGGCTAAGAAGGAAGTTACAGTGTTGGCTGGGGTGACTGACCAGACTATTAAGATGACATCAGTCTACTACTTCACAATGGAGGTAAAGAAGGATTTGTGTGAAATACAGGAGATCCCATAGGGTGTCTCTTAGTATTGTCATGCCCTGTGATTAAGGTCAATGGGAAACTACAACGACCCAATCCAGGCAGGACTACAAATGGCCCAGAACCCTCAAGAATGAAGGTTTGGGTCACTACACTAGGTAAAAAACCAGGACCTCTGAGGTGCTTTCTGAAGTCAAGAAGAAGAAGGTATTCATCAATACTAGCTACGATCCCGTGACCAGTTACAGAAATGAGTACTGTAACTGTCATGAGTATTTTCTCCTTATTTTGTTAAGAACATGTTTGTGTATGTATATACTTGTGCTAAGAAAATATCTTCATTTTCTTTCCTTTTTCCTTTAATATGTGACATAAGTTTTACAGACTTCGTATCAGCATTTAAATGTTGTTAACTTTATGCAATAGCATTTAGGTTAAGAATTAGTGTACTTCTGGTTATACTAAGGATAGCTGTATTATGTTAGGCTTAATTATGACCTTATCTTTGTCTTTATTTGGAGATGTGTATGGGTTCTAGTTGACAAGGGGTGGACTTGTGATGGTTAATATTAGGAGTCCACTTGATTGGATTGAATGATGCAAAGTATTGTTTCTGGGTGTATCTGGGTGTTTCTGAGTGTTGCCAGAAAAGATTAACATTTTAATCAGTGGACTTGGAGGGGAAGACTCACCCTCAGGAAGATCCACCCTCAGTGTGGGTGGGCTACAGCCATTTGGCTGCAAGTATGGGTAGCAACAGCAGGCAGGAAAAGGTGGAAGAAGTTGACTTGTAGAGTCTTCCGTCCTTCACCTTACTCCCATGCTGGATGCTTCCTGCCCTCAAAAATTAGACTCCAAGTTCTTCAGCTTTGGACTGTTAAACTTATACCAGTGGTTTGCCAGGGGCTCTTGGGCCTTTAACCACAGACTGAAGGTTGCACATTCAGCTTTCCCACTTTTGAGGTTTTGGGGTTCAGACTAGCCTCCTTGTTTCTCAGCTTGAGGACAACCTATCATAGAGAATCACCTTGTGATCATGTGAGTCAATTCTTCTTAATAAACTCCCCTTCGTATGTACATATATTCTATTAGTTCTACCCCTCTAGAGAACCCTAACTAATACAGTGGAAGACTTTAACACCCCACTGTCAATACCAGACAGACCATAGAGACAGAAAATTTACAAAGATATTCAGGACTTGAACTCACATCTGGTTCAAGTGGAGCTGATAGATATTGACAGAACTCTACACCTAAAAACAACATAAAGACATTCTTCTCAGCAACACATGGCACTTACTCTAAAATTAATCGCATAATTGGAAGTAAAAACCTCCTCAGAAAATTCAAAATAACTGATACCATAACAGTCTCTCGGACCACAGTGCAATCAAATTAGAACTCAAGATTAAGAAACTCACTCAAAACCACAAAACTACAAGAAAATTGAAGAACTTGCTCCTGAATGACTTCTAGGTAAATAATGAAATTAAGGGCAGAAATCAAGAAGTTCTTTGAAATAAATGAGAACAGAGGAACAACGTACCAGAATCTCTGGGAAACAGCTAACGCAGTGTTAAGAGGGAACTTTATAGCACTAAATGGCCACACTAAAAAGCTAGAAAGATCTCCAATTGACATTCTAACATCACAACTAAAAGAACTAGAGACACAAGAGAAAACAAAAACAAACAAACAAAACCCGAAGCTAGCAGAAGACAAGAAATAACCAAGATCAGAGCAGAATAAAAGGAGATACACGAAAAACTCTTCAAAAAATCAATAAATCCAGAAGCTGATTTTTGAAAAAAATTAATAAAATAAATAGACCACTAGCTAGACTAATAAGAAAAGAGAGAAGAATCAAATAGACGCAATAAAAATGATAGAAGGATATCACCACTGACACCACAGAAACAAAAACAACCATCAGAGAATATAATAAACACCTATATGAAAATAAAATAGAATATCTGGAAGAAATGGATAAATTCCTGGACACATATGCCCTCCAAAGTCTGAGCCAGGAAAAAGTTGAATCCCTGAATAGACCAACAACAAGTTCTAAAAACAAAAAAGCCAAGGACAAGTTAGATTTACAGCTGAATTCTACAAAATGTACAAAGAAGAGCTGGTACATTTCTTCTGAAACTATTCCAAACAATTGAAAAGGAGGAACTCCCCCCTAACTCATTCTATGAGGCTAGTATTGTCCTGATACCAAAACCTAGCAGAGATACAACAAGAAAAAATAAAAACTTCAGGCGAATAACCCAGATGAACATCAATGTAAAAGTCCTCAATAAAATACTGGCAAACTGAATCCAACAGTACATCAAAAAGCTTATCCATAACAATCCAGGTGGCTTCATTCCTGGGATGAAAGGTTGGTTCAACATATGCAAATCGATAAATGTTATTCATCACACACACAAAAAATAAAGATAAAAACCACACGATTATCTCAATAGATACAGAAAAGTCCTTTGATAAAATTTAACCTCCCTTCATGTTAAAAATTCTCAATAAACTAGGTGTTGAAGGAACATACCTCAAAATAATAAGAGCCACATACAACAAACTCACAGCCAATATTATACTAAATGAGCAAAAGATGGAAGTAATCTTGAAAACTGGTGCAAGTCAATGATGCCCTCTCTCACCACTGCTCAACATAGTATTGGAAGTTCTGGCCAGGGCAATCAGGGCAGAGAAGTAAATAAAACATATTCAAATAGGAAGAGAGGAAGTAAAACTATCTTTGTTTGCAGATGACAAAATCCTATATCTAGAAAACCCCATAGTCTCACCCCAAACAATTCTTAAAGTGAAAAGCATCTTCAGCAAGGTCTCAGGATACAAAATCAATGTGCAAAAATCACAGGTATTCCTGCACACCAACAACAAGGATGCAGAGAACACAATCATGAATGAGCTCCTATTCACAATTACTACAAAGAGAATAAAACACCAAGGAAAACAACTAACAAGGG
Source organism: Homo sapiens (assembly GCF_000001405.40). NCBI lineage: Eukaryota > Metazoa > Chordata > Mammalia > Primates > Hominidae > Homo > Homo sapiens. The sequence goes on along the minus strand of NC_000003.12, from coordinate 83,550,524 downwards.
AAGTGAAGGACTTTCTCAAGGAGAACTACCAATCACTGCTCAAGGAAATAAGAGAGGACAGGAACAAATGGAAAAACATTCCATGCTCATGGATAGGAAGAATCAATACTATGAAAATGGCCATACTGCCCAAAGCAATTTCAGATTCAATGCTATTGCCATTAAACTATCATTGACATTCTTCACAGAATCAGAAGAAACTATTTTAAAACGTGAATGGAACCTAAAAAGAACCTGTATAGCCAAGAGAATCCTAAGGAAAAAGAACAAAGCTGGAGGCATCATTCTACCTAACTTCAGAGTATACTACAGGGCTACAGTAACCAAAACAGCACTGTACTGGTACACAAACAGACACATAGATCAATGGAACAGAATAGAGAACTCAGAGATAAGACCACACACCTACAACCATCAGATCTTTGACAAACCTATACAAAATATAATGGGGAAAGGATTCCCTGTTTAATAAATGGTCTGGGAAAACAGGCTAGCCATATGCTGAAAACTGAAACTGGACCCCTTCCTTACACCTTTGTAATGGTTAATACTGAGTGTCAACTTGATTGGATTTAAGGATGCAAAGTATTGGTCCTGGGTGTGTCTGTGAGGGTGTAGCTAAAGGAGATTAACATTTGAGTCAGTGGGCAGAGAAACGCAGACCCACCCTTAATCTGGGTGGACACCATCTAATCAGCTGCCAGTATGGCTAAAATATAAAGTAGGCAGAAAAACGTGAAAAGGCTAGACTGGCTTAGCCTCCCAGCTTACATTTTTCTCCCGTTCTGGATGCTTACTGCCCTCGGACATCAGACTCCCAAGTTCTTCAGCTTTGGGACTCGGACTGGCTTCCTTGCTCCTCAGCTTGCAGATGGCCTATTGTGATACCCTGTGGTCGCGTGAGTTAATACTACTTAATAAACTCCCCTTTATATATACATATCTATTCTATTAGTTCTGTCTCTCTAGAGAACCCTGACTAGTACAACCTTATACAAAAAAAAAAAAAAATTAACTCAAAATGGGTAAAACACTTAAGTGTAAAACCCAACACTATAAAGAAACAGAAGAAAATCTAACAGTATCATTCAGGACATAGGCATGGGCAAATATTTCATGACAAGAACTCCAAAAGCAATTGCAACAAAAGCAAAAATTGACAAATAAGATCTAATTAAGCTAAGAGCTTATGCACAGCAAAAGAAACTACCATCAGAATGAACAGAAAACCTTCAGAATGGGAGAAAACTTTTGCAGTCTATGCATCTGATAAAGCTCTAATATCCAGAGTCTGAAAAGAACTTAAACAAATTTGCAAGAAAAAAAAAACCTATTAAAAAGTGGAAAAGTACATGAACAGACACTTCTCAAAAGAACACATTCATGCAGCCAATAAACATATGAAAAAAAGCTCAACATCACTGATGATTAGTGAAATGCACATCAAAACCACAATGAGATACCATCTCATGCCAGTCAGAATGCTGATTATTAAAAAGTCAAGAAGCAATAGATGCTGGAGAAGTGGAGAAATAGAAACACTTTTAAACTGTTGATGTGAATGGGAATTAGTTCAATCATTGTGCAAGACAGTTTGGCAATTGCTCAAAGATCTGGAACCAGAAATACTATTTGACCCAGCAATCCCATTACTGGTATATACCCAAAAGAATATAAATCATTCTATTCTAAAGACACATGCACATATGTGTTCATTGTAGCACTATTCACAATAACAAAGACACAGAATCAACCCAAATGCCCATCAATGATAGACTGGATAAAGAAAATGTGGTATGTACACACCACGAATACTATGAAGCCATAGAAAAGAAGAAGATCCTGTCCTTTGTGGGGACATGGATGGAGCGGGAAGCAATTACCCTCAGCAAAGGAACGCAGGAACAGAAAACCAAACACTGTATGTTCTCACTTATAAGTGAGAGCTGAATTACGGGAGCACATGGACAAGGGGGGCCACAATACACAAAGTGGCCTGTTGGGGGTCGGGAGGGAGAGCATCAGGAAAAATATCTAATGCATGCTAGGCTTACTACCTAGTGATGAGTTGATCTGTAAGGCAAGCCACCATGGCACACCTTTACCTCTCTAACAACACTGCACCTCCTGCTGTACCCATAACTTAAAAGTTGAAGAAAAAAAAACAAAAAGGAAACCAAAAACAAAGTGTTGAAGGAAGCTGGGGGCTGAAGGACAAGTTGCCTGTAAAGGAACAAGTGTAAGAATTACTGCTGACTTCTCATTAGAAACCGTGCAAGAAAAAAGAGAGTAAAGTAAAACATTTAAAGGTTTTCTTTTTAAAGCAAAATAAAATATCAAGACTGAATTCTAGGTCCATTGATATTGTCCTTTGAAAGTGAAGAAGATATAAAAACTTTCTCAGACAAACAAGAATGAGGAATATATATTGCCAAAAGATTGGCCCTGCAAAAAATGTGGGAAAAAAAGGTCCTTCTGGGAGAAATAAAATGATAATAAAAAGAAGATGTTATTCTGGATAAAATAAAATAAAATAACAAATCTACATAATGAAAGGAAAAGTGTTAGAAAGAAAACAATGCAAGTATAATTGTACGATTTTTTAAAATCTTAATTAATCTAAAAGGTATCTATTTGTTTAAGATAATAATAGCATATATATTGAGTGATTATACCATATAGATAAGTGAAATGTATGCCAGTAATATTACAAGAAACAAAGGGGGTAAGAAATTGGGAATACAACATGTTCATTTCCCTGCACTACAGATGAAAGAAATAGTGTTTTTTGAGGATGGATTTAGATTAGTTAAATCTGTAAATTGTAAACTCTAGGGCAAACAATAAAAAAAAAAAGAAATTAATACACTTAAAGAAATAAAGTGAATTCAGATCAAATTCTCAATTAAAATTAGAAAGTAAAAAAAGGCCTCTAGCAGCAAAAAGAAAACAGTAATAAACATTGTTGATAATAATTCAAATATACCAATAATCACCTTAAATTAGAGTGGTCTAAATACATCAATTAGAAAAGGCTCTCAGAATGGATTAAGAAAAAAGAAGACTCAGCTATATGTTTACTACAAGTTATGCCTTTAAAGCTAAAGACTCTGATAGGTTAAAGGTAAGGGGATAAAAATATATCATGTAACACTAATCAAAAGAAAGCTGTAGTTATATTAATTTCAAGATAAACAGACTTTAGAAATAAAAGTAATTATCAGGGATAAAGACAGGTATTATATAATGATAAATAAGACAATTCTCCAAAGAGAATCTGAAACCTACGTAAACCTAAAACTAGAGCATCCAAATTTGCGAGGCAAAAACTGATAGAACTAAAAGTAGAAATGGACAAATCCATTATTGTATTTAGAAAGTTCAACATATCCGTATATAAGTGATAGATCAGAAGAAAGAAGATCAACAAGAATATTATTGACCTGAAATGCACTTGATCTGACATTTAGAGAATGATTACTTTTTACAACAAGAATGTGATACACATTCTCCCTAACCTCAAGTGTAATATTTCCCAAGATAGAGCATTTTCTAGGCAATAAAACACATTTTTCCTAATGAAAAAAAAAAAAAAACCGGCAAACACACAAAGTATGTTTTCAGAACATGGTACAATAAAACAAGAATCAATACCCCAAATCAACCTGGAAAATTCCTGAAGATTTGAAAATTTAACAACACACTTCCAAATAGCACATCTATCAGTGGAGACTAAAAAACAAAAATTAAGCAAATGTTTTAAACTAAGTGAAATTAAAATAAAATGATCAAAATTTACATGTCACAAAATCAGAACTTAGAGAAACATATGTAGAATTACATATATATATTAGAAAAAAAGAAAGGTTCAGAGTGACAATAGCAACATTGCAGATAGAAGGCTCTTGATCTCTCCATCCATGGATGCACCAAGTGAACATCTAAACAGGGGTCAACTCCCTCTGAGAGTCATGAATTGTGACTCCTACTTTATTTGTTTGTGCTACTATAATTAATTACCACACATTGGATATTTTATAAACAATAAAACCATAATTTCTAGTAATCTGGAACCTGGAAATTCTACAGTCAAGATACCAGTAGCTCTCTGGTGAGAGTTTCTCTCTGCTTCTAAGATAGCACCTTGATATATTATCCTTTGGAGGGAAGGAACACTGTGTCCACACATAGCAGAGGGGAGGGAGGAACAAAAATGATGTTCTCTAGTTCCCTCCATCCCTTTTATAATGTTGTAAATCCTATTCGTGAGGGCTCTACCTTCTTAACTTTATCACTTCCTAATGGCCTCATGTCTTAATATTATCACATTAAGTTTCAACCCATAACTTTCTGGGGACATTCATACCATACCACCTACACACCAGGCAACAGAGAAAATACTTACATCAAATGGATAGGAAAAGCTGAGACACACTTGGGCACAAACTCCACCCCAGGCACTGCAACACGTAATCAGGAAGAAATTCCCAACTCCATGAGGAGAGAAGGGTTTAGAACACATACACAGTGCCTTAACTCTGAAGTTTCTCACAGCTCCTAATTCACCTAGCTCTGGAAGTGGAAGGGAATAGGCATACACAAGTCTCCCTAGACCACAGAACACAATAGCAGTTGTATACAAGCATATAGCACTTCCAGAGGATGCATTCTTTGGGATAAGAAGAGAGAAGGGACTAAAACTCAAAGCTCCCAGTGTCTACCTGGAAAATGTTTGCCAGCATATTCTTCTAATGGCTGCTGACAATCAACCTTCTAAGTAGCCTGTTTCAGGGAGTTAGTGGGCTGACAAACTATAGACCTCAGCAAGTGACAGATCATTCAGACAGAAAATCATCAAGGAGACATCAGATTTAACTGCACTGTAGATCAAATAAACCTAGTAGACATTTACAGAGCATTCCACCAAACAGTCGCAGAATACATATTTTTCTCATCAAAATATGAAACTTTGGCTGGGCATGGTGGCTCACGCCTGTAATCTCAGCACTTTGGGAGGCCGAGGCGGGTGGATCATGAGGTCACGAGTTCGAGACCAGCCTGACCAATGTGGTGAAACCCCATCTCTGCTAAAAATACAAAAAAAATCAGTTGGGTGTGGTGGTGCGCGCCTGAAATCCCAGGTATTCAAGAGTTCTGAGGCAAGAGTATTGCTTCAACCTGGGAGGCGGAGGTTGCAGTGAGCCGAAATTGCACCACTGCACTCCAGCCTAGGCAAGAGAGCAAGACTCTGTCTCAAAAAGAAAAAAAAAAGAAAAAAGAAACTTTTTCTAGGATGGATCATATGTTAGGGCACAAAACAAGTCTCAATAAATAAAACTAGAAATCATTAACAAAATAAACTTTGGAAACTATACAAATACATGGAAATTGAACAACATTCTCCTGAACAACAAATGGGTTAATGAACAAATTAAAAAGAAACTTGAAATATTTCTTGAGAAATAAAAATCGAAATGCAGCATACCAAAACCTATGGGGCTATAGAAAAAACAGCCTTAAGAGGTAAGTTTTTTTTGTTTGTTTGTTTTTGTTTTTGAGACAAAGTCTCACTCTGTCGCCCAGGCTGGAGTGCAGTGGTGCAATCTCGGCTCACTGCAAGCTCCCCCTTCCGGGTTCACGCCATTCTCCTGCCTCAGCCTCCCGAGTAGCTGGGACTACGGGCGCCTGCCACCACGCCCAGCTAATTTTTTTTTTTTTTGTATTTTTAGTAGAGACGGGGTTTCATCCTGTTAGCCAGGATGGTCTAGATCTCCTGACCTCGTGATCTGCCCGTCTTGGCCTCCCAAAGTGCTGGGATTACAGGCGTGAGCCACCATGCCAGGCCCCAAGAGGTAAGTTTACAGTAGTACATAAACACATTGAAAAATTAGAAAGATCTCAAGCAACCTAATATTGCACCTCCAGGAATAAGAAAAACAAGAACAAGCAATTCAAATTTAGTAAACATAAAAAATAATTAAATATCAGAGAAAAATAACATGGAGAAATTTTTTTAAAAAAGTACAAAAGATCAACAAAATGAGCAGTTGGATTTTTGAAAGGATAAACAAAGTTGATAAAACTTTAGCTAGACATAAAAATAAAAAAGACAAATAAAATTAGGCATGAAAAGGAAACATTAAAATTGATACCACGAAATGAAAAGAATCATTAGAAATTATTATGAACAACTATATGAACATAAAATAAAAATGTAAAAGGAATGCGTACATTTCTGGACACAATCTACTAAGATTGAACCATGAAAAAAATGAACAACTTGAAATCAATAATGTGCAACAAGAATGAAAACCTTAATTAAAAAGTTTCCCATCAAATAAAATCCCAGGACCTGATGGCCTCACTGCCCAATTCAACCAAACATTTCAAAAACTAAGACCAATTCTACTCAAAATATTCCAAAAAATATATAAATAAAGAAAAGGGAATATTGCCAAACTCATTCTATGAGTCTGATATTACCCTGATACCAAAACCAGACAAAAACTTGATTAAAAAGGGAAGCTATAGGCCAAGATCCCTGTTGAACATAAACACAAAAATCATCAACCAAATATTGGCAAACTGAATTCAACGATGCATTAAAAAGATCTTTTATTGTTATTAAGTGGGATTCATCCCAGGGATGCAAGGATGATTCAACATAAGCAATACATTATATAAACAGAATGAAGAACAAAAACTACATAATCATTTCAACAGATGCTCATAAAGCATTCACAAAATTCAATATCTCATCATGATAAAAACTGTCAATTAACTTGATATGGAACGTACATACCTCAATACAATAAAAGCCATATATGGCCAGGTGCGGTGGCTCACATCGGTAATCCCAGCACTTTGGGATGCCAAAGCAGGCTGATCACATGATCCCAGGAGTTTGAGACCAACTTGCACAATATGACAAAACCTCGTTGCTACCAAAAATACAAAAAGTAGCTGGGCATGGTGGCATGCTCCTGTAGTTCCAGCTACTCAGGTCGCACCACTGCACTTCAGCCTGGATGATTCTGTCTCCAAAAATAAAAATAAAAATAAAGTAATAAAAGCTAAATATGACAAACCCACGGGTAACATCATACTGAATAGAAAAAAAAATGCTGAAAGCTGTTCCTCTAGGATCTGGAATATGACAAGGATGCCTACTTTCAGCACTCTTACTCAACATCATGCTGGAAGTCTTAGCTAGAGGAATAATTACAGAGTGAAAGTAATAAAAGGGATATAAATTGAAAAGGAGGAAGTCAAACTATCCTTGTTGCAGACAACCCTAAAGACTCCACCAAAAAGCTCTTAAAACTAATAAGAAAATTCAATAAGGCTGAAGAATACAAAATCAGCATACAAAAAAATTAGTTTTTGTTCTATATTCCAGTAGCAAACTATCTGAAACAGAAATCAAGAAACAATTTCATTTACAATAGCTACCAAAAATAATAATAAAATACATCTGAACAAATTCAACCAAAAAGGTAAAAAATATATACAATGAAAACTATAAAACATTGATGAAAGTAACTGAAGATGATACAAATAAATGAAAAGATATCTTGTCTCATGGGTTGGAATAATTTTGTTAAAATGTCGTTACTACCCAAAGTGATCTACAGATTCAATGCAATTCTTATTTAAATACTAATAACATTCTTTACAGAAAAAAAATTCTAATATTTGTGTGGAGGTACAAATGACCTTGAATTGCCAAAGTAATCTTGAGGAAAAAGAACTAAGCTGGAAGCATCACTCTAGCTGACTTCAAAATATGCTACAAAGTTGTAATAACCAACACAGCATGGCATTGGCAAAAAAAAAAAAAAAAACACATAGACCAATGGAACAGAATACAGAACACAGAATTAAATTCAAACACTTAAAGCCAGTTGATTGTCAACAAGGGTGCCAAAAACACACATAGATAGGGACAAGGGCAATATCTACAATAAATTGTACAAGGAAAACATGCAAAATAATAAAACCAGACCTCTATCTCTCACCTTACATAAACATTAAATCAAAGTGGATTAAGGACTTAAATATAAGACTCAAAACTATAAAATTACTCGAATATATGGGGAAACAGTCCACAACCCGGGTGTGGGCAAGGATTAAAAAAATAAAATAAAATAAATAAACCTAAGAGGACAAGCAACAAAAGCACAAATAGACAAATGGGATTACATCAAAATGAAAAGCTTTTGTACAACAAAGGAAACAATCAACAGAGTGAAGATGCAACGTACAGAATAGGTAAAAAAAATTTGCTAACTATGCATCTCATAAGGGGTTAATATCCATAATACATAAGAAACTCTAACAACTCAATAGCAAAAATAATAATAATAATAACCTGATGTTAAAAATAATAGATATGTCCCCAAAGAGCATACAAATTGCTATTTCATTAGGTATATGAACCAAAAGTATTCAGTATTACAAATCATCAGGGAAATGCAAAGCAAAACCACAACGAGATATCACTTTACCTGAATTAGAATGGTTGTTTCAAAAAGACAAAAAATAACAAATGCCGACATGAATGTGAAGAAATGGCAACCATTACACACTGTTTGTAGGAATGTAAATTAGTACAGCTATTATGGAAAACAGTATGGTGTTTCCTCACAAAATTAAAAATAGAATTACCGTACGATTGAGTAATTCCACTACTGGGTATATATCCAAGAGACATGAAATAATTATGTTGAAGACTTGTCTTCATTAATGTTTATTGCAGTGCTATTCAAAATAGATAAGATATGGAATCACCCTAAGTGTCCATTAACAGATGAATAAATAAAGAAAATGTTTGTACACACACAATGGAATATTATTAAATTCTGTCATTTGCAGCAACTTGCACAAACCTGGAGGAATTATGTTAAGTGAAATGTCAGACACGTAAATACAAATACTGCGTGATCTCACTCATTTGAGGAATTATAAAAAGCTGATCTCATAGAACTACAGAGGGCTTCTATTATTCAGGTTACCAGAGGTTGGATAGGGTAGAGGAAAGGGGATCGATGGGAAGAGATCAGTTAATGGGTATAAAATTACAGATTGATAAGGGGAATACATTCTGTTGTTCTATCGCATAGTAGGGTGACTCTAATAAACAATGTTGCATTATATATTTCTAAAAACTGTAACAGAGGATTTGAATGTTTTTACCACAAAGAAATGATAAATGTTTGTGGTGATGGGCAAGCTAAATATCCTTATTTGATCATTGAACTACGTACACAAGTAGGAAAACATCACACTGTCCCCCATAAATATGTACAATCATATGTGTTAATTAAAAATAAAATAAAACCTTAAAAAACAGTTAACAGCTCAATAATTATTATTTTAAAGGAATACTATTGCTATTTTTAAATCATTAAACTTAGCTATTATTTAAAATTTTGAGTATAAAATACTGGATATATTATTATTTATGTAAATGTAAAATGGGAAAAAGTAATAGTCTATTGATTACCAACCAAATGTGACAACATAACATTTAAAATACAACCAATACTTTATTATTGGACAGATGGCTAAGACAAATGGAAGAATCATGAAAAGGTAAAATATAATGTACAAATTTATTTTACAGATAATTACAAAATGTAGATTTCAACCATTGACATCTATTATAAATAATATATTAAGAAAAATGTAAACACATAAATTTTACATTTTAGAAAAATGTAAATACACAATAAAATATGTTTAAAATTAATTGAAAGTTTAGTAGTAGTGGTTTTAGTCTTCTTTAACGTTATTATGAGCCTTCCAACTTTGTTTCTATTTCCTTTTTCTTCAGATAAAATTTGATGATTTAGAGCCTATGTTATAAAATCCCAGACTACAATGTTTTAAATTAACTCATAGGGGACCAATTCTAGGCAGCTATTTGTTTCAGTCCACATGGAAAAATACTCTTCCTTGATGCTGAATGTGTACTTTATAGTTTTCTCCCCCACTATAAAGCCAAATATGAGGAGAATAAGAAAAACAATTAATCCAACATTATGGGAAAATATGGTAGAAATCTTTGCTTTAAGATATTCTGAGAAGTAAAATTAGAGTAAGCACTACCACATATGTACAAGTCTCTATAAGGTAAAGCATAGTATAAAATATTATTTTATGGTAATATAATCACAATATATATTTTGATATGCCATGTGCCAAATGGAAACTTATATTCCATAGTTGTTTTTTGCCAGTAAGTCTTGTTCTTCAATGAATGGTATTCAATGTATAATATGCCTTTCTTTTTTATTCTTCTTTACTCTCTTTACGCTACTTCTTTTTTTTTTTCTTTTTGTATAAATTTAGTGGGTACTCATACAATTTTGTTACATAGATATATTGTGTAATGAAATCTCGGCTTTTAGGGTAACCATCACCAGAATAGTGTACATTGTACCAATTAAGTTATTTATTTACTTTTTAGGGACAGGGCCTTGCTTTGTTGGCTACGATGGAGCACACTGGTGTGATCCTAACTCACTGTAGCCTTGAACTCCTGGGCTCAAGGGATCCTCCCACTTTAGCCTTCCAAACAGGTAGGACTATAGGGGTACATCACCATACTGGGCTAATTTTTAAATTTTTTTTTAGTAGATATGGGATCTCGTTTTGTTGCCTAGGCTGGTCTTGAACTCCTTGCCTCAAGAGATCCTCCCGCCTCAACCTCTTCAGAATTATTTCTCATCCTGCACTCCCATCCCCCCATTCTCCCACTCTTCTGAACCTCTAGTGACTTATTAATCTACATCAATGTCCATGTGTAAACTTTAATTGGCTTTCACTTACAAGTAAGAAAACGTGTTCTTTGGCTTTCTGATTCTGAGTTGTTTCACTTAAGATAATTATCTCCAGCTTCATTCATATTGTAGCAAAAGACATGATTTCATTCTTTTCCATGGCTGAATAATATTTCACTGTGTGTTTATATACACATTTATACATTTTGTATATCCATATACACATACACACACACTGCAATTTCTTTATTCACCCACTGATGGAAACTTAGGTCAATTCCAGGTCTTTGCTACTGTAAATCGTTCAAAGCACTGCTATAAACATATGAGTACAGACATCTTTTGCTATAACTATTTCTTTCCCTTTGGGTAGATACCGTTTAGTGGGATTGCTGGCTCGAATGGTAGTTCTACTTTCAGTTCTTTGAGGAATCTCCATTCTGTTTTCCGTAGTGGTTATACTAATTTACATTGCCACCAACAGTGTATATGCATTCCCTTTCATCTGTATCCTAGCCAACATCTGTTACTTTTTTTTAATAATAGTTTTTTTGGCTGGTGTAAGATGATATATCATTGTAGTTTTAATATGTATTTCTCTGATGATTAGAGATGTTGAACAATTTTTATATACTTACGGGCCACTTGTATGTTTTCTTTTGAAAAATGTCTATTCTTGCCCTTTGCACACTTTTTAATGAGGTTATTTTTTGTTGTGCCTTTTAAGTTGAGTTCCTTGAAAACTCTGGAGGTCAGTTCCCTGACAGATTCATAATTTGCAAATATTTTTCCCATCCTGCAGATTATCTGTTCATTATGCTGATTATTTCTGTTGCCGTGCAGAGGCTTTTTAGTTTAATGTAGTAGCATTTGTCAATATTTGTTTTTGTTGCTTGTGCTTTTTATTTTAAGAGACAGAGCCTCACTCTGTTGCCCAGGCAAGAATGCAGTGATGTGATCATAGCTTATTGCAGCCTCAAACTCCTAGGCTAAAGCAATCCTCCTGCCTCCACCTCCCAATTACTTCTACAGGCACATGCCACCACACCTGGCTAATATTTTAAAAACTTTTTAATAGTGACAAAGTTTTACTATGTTGCCCAGGCTGATCTCAAACTCCTGGCTTCAAGTGATCCTCTGCTTCAGCCTCACAAAGTGCTGGGATTTCTGACATGAGCCGTGGTGCCTGGCTTTACTTGTGATTTTGAGGTCTTAGTCATTAACTCTTTGTCTAGACGAGGGATGCCCAGATCTTTTGGTTTTTCTGGGCCACATTGGATGAAGACAAATTGTCTTGGGCCACTCATGAAATACGCTAACACTAATGATAGCTGATAAGCTAAAAAAATATATCATAAAAAAATCTTATAATGTTGTCAGAGAGTTTAAGAATTTGTGTTGGGCCGCATTCAAAGCCATCTTGGGCCACCCGTGGCCTGCGGGTTAGAAAAGTTTGGTCTAGACTAATGTCCAGAAGAGTTTCCCCTACGTTTTCTTGAGTATTTCTTTTTTATTATACTTTAAGTTTTAGGGTACATGTGCACAACGTGCAGGTTTGTTACATATGTATACGTGTGCCATGTTGGTGTGCTGCACCCATTAACTCATCAAGTAGCATTAGATATATCTCCTAATACTATCTGTCCCCCCTCCCCCCTCCCCCCACCCCACAACAGGCCCCAGTGTATGATATTCCCCTTCCTGTGTCCATGTGTTCTCCTTGTTCAATTCCCACCTACGAGTGAGAACATGCAGTGTTTGGTTTTTTGTTCTTGCGATCGTTTGCTGAGAATGATGATTTCCAGTTTCATCCATGTCCCTACAAAGGACATGAACTCTTCATTTTTTATGGCTGCATAGTATTCCATGGTGTATATGTGCCACGTATTCTTAATCCAGTCTATCATTGTTGGACATTTGGGTTGGTTCTAAGTCTTTGCTATTGTGAACAGTGCTGCAATAAACATACATGTGCATGTGTCTTTATAGCAGCATGATTTATAATCCTTTGGGTATATATCCAGTAATGGGATGGCTGGGTCAAATGGTATTTCTAGTTCTAGATCCCTGAGGAATAGCCACACTGACTTCCACAATGGTTGAACTAGTTTACAGTCCCACCAACAGTGTAAAAGTGTTCCTGTTTCTCCACATCCTCTCCAGCACCTGGAGTTTCCTGACTTTTTAATGATCACCATTCTAACTGGTGTGAGATGGTATCTCACTGTGGTTTTGATTTGCATTTCTCTGATGGCCAGTGATGATAAGCATTTTTTCATGTGTCTGTTGGCTGCATAAATGTCTTCTTTTGAGAAGTGTGCGTTCATATCCTTTGCCCACTTTTTGATGGGGTTGTTTGTTTTTTTCTTGTAAATTTGTTTGAGTTCTTTGTAGATTCTGGATATTAGCCCTTTTCAGATGAGTAGATTGAAAAAATTTTCTCCCATTCTGTAGGTTGCCTGTTCACTGTGATGGTAGTTTCTTTTGCTGTGCAGAAGCTCTTTAGTTTAATTAAATCCCATTTGTCAATTTTGGCTTTTGTTGCCATTGCTGTTGGTGTTTTAGACATGAAGTCCTTGCCCATGCCTATGTCCTGAATGGTAGTGCTTAGGTTTTCTTCCAGGGTTTTTATGGTTTTAGGACTAACATTTGAGTCTTTAATCCATCTTGACTTAATTTTTGTATAAGATGTAAGGAAGGGATCCAGTTTCAGCTATCTACATATGGCTAGCCAGTTTTCCCAGAACCATTTATTAAATAGGGAATCCTTTCCCCATTTCTTTTTTTTTCAGGTTTGTCAAAGATCAGGTAGTTGTAGATATGTGGCATTATTTCTGAGGGCTCTGTTCTGTTCCATTGGTCTATATCTCTGTTTTGGTACCAGTACCATGCTGTTTTGGTTACTGTAGCCTTGTAGTATAGTTTAAAGTCAGGTAGCATGATGCCTCCGGTTTTGTTCTTTTGGCTTAGGATTGACTTGGCAATGCGGGCTCTTTTTTGGTTCCATATGAACTTTAAAGTAGTCAGGTCTTACATTTAAAACTTTGGTCCATCTTGAGTTGATTTTGCATATGGTGTGAGACGGGTCATTTTATTTTTCTGCATAGGGCAATTCAATTTTCCCAGCACCATTTATTAAAAAGGGTAGCCTTTCTGTAGTGTATGTTTTTGTCAACTTTGTCAAAAGATCAGTTGGGTGTAGATATGTGTCTTTATATCTGTGTTCTCTATCTTATTCTATTGATCTGTGTGTCTATTTTTCCATGTCAGCATTGTGATGTTTTGGTTACTATAGCCTTGTAAGAATAATTTTAGGTCAGGTAACGTGATCCTTCCAGCTTTGAGTTCCTTGCAAATTCTGGATATCAGTCCCTTGTCAAATTCATAATTTGTAAACGTTTTTCCCATTTTGCAGGCTATCTGTTCTTTTTGCTTAGAACCAGTTTAGCTATTGGTGGCTCTTTTTCAGGTTCTGTATGAATTTTAGAATTGTTTTTTCTAATTCTGTAAAAAATGACATTGGTATTTTGATAGAGATTGCATTGAATATAAGAAACCCACAGTCAACATCACACTGAATAGGAAAAAGTTGAAAGCAATTCCCCTAAAAACTGGAACAAGACGAAGATGCTTGCTTTTACCACTCCCATGCAACATAGAACTATAAGTCCTAGCCAGGGCCAGCAGGCAAGAGAAAGAAATAAAAGACATCCAAATTGGAAAGATAAAGCTAACTTACCTCTGTTTACTGATGGCATAATCTCATACTTATAAAATCCTAAACACTTCTTCAAAAAACTAGATTCGATAAATGAATTAGGAAGTGTCAAGATATAAAATCAACATACAAAATTCAGTGTTTTTTTAATATACCAATAACATTCAAGGTGAGAAAGAAATCAAGAAAGCAATCTTGTTTACAATAGCTACAAGAAGGAAACACCTGGAAATATATTTAACCAAGAAGGTGAAAGAGCTCTAGAAGTAAAATTACAAAAACAACTGGTAAAAGAAATTGCAGATGACACAGACAAATGGAAAAATATCCCATGATCATAGATTGGAATAATTAATATTGTTAAAATGACCACACTGCTTTTTTTTCTTTTCCCTAGCAACAATGTTGATACCTAGTAATATGTTATCTTATTACTATCTCCTGTCTTTACTTGAGAATTCTGTTTGATCTATCCAGTAAAGTTGTCAATCATCTCTATTAATTGTCTGCACTTCCAAATAAAGGAAATAAATTGACGCATAGTTTTCTGTGCATAATTCTACTATTTTTTTTTCTTTCCACATTGTAGAATAAAAATCAGCAGTCCGTCTTCAAACTATTAATTGCATTAATCTTAGACAGGATAATTTTCTGGTATTGAAACAATCTTACAATATTTCTGTTTTTTCCTTTGAGACAACATGCTTTAGCTTACATCAAAAGACTAAGAAGGTGGAGTCAGATCTATTGAACTAATATATATTGAGGATATGAATTATTATTAATAATAGTATTTTTAGCTAATTTTTACTAAAGTATTATTGTAAATACCCAGCTTGTTTTGTCCCAGAAGAGCTCTATTCCCAAAGCAACAATGTGTTTACAAGGTTAACCCGCCTTATCATGGACTAAGACTCCGGAGATGGTTAATAGGATAAGATGATTTAGTGAGGATAAGTGAGCTGGCAAGAGAAAAATCTTATACAAAACATAAAAGGGAAGAGTCATTCACAATTTAATAAAATAATAAATATAAACAAAATAAATACTGTAGTATTTTTCTCTATATATTCTATTCTTATATATGCATATTTTAAAGAACAAGTTCTTTGTAAGATCATACTTTCTACAAGAATACAAACTTAAATACTTCCTATGTCCCTATAAATTCTTACACTACTAGGTTTTTAACAGTAATAATTATAAACAAAGGATATGCCCAATATTTAATTTAAAAATTTATATAATACTTTTAGTTTATTTCTAAATATATACTATGTAAAGAGTGACCATTCATATTTATTTTTGCAAATGTTCTTAATAATTTGCTTAGGATATATTATAGTTCTAGAATTATAGACTCAAAAGACAAACACACTTTTAGGGATTTTGATAAGTATTCCATACTATCCTCCAGAAAATTTTACCAACTTTTACTCTGATAGCAATATATTGGATGACCATTTCCCATATATTCTAATAAAACTGAATATCATGTTTTAAAATTATTATTAGTTTAATTGCCAAAAAATACATCTTTTCAATGTCTGTTTATATTTCTTGTATAGTTAATAATTTGAAGTTACATTCATGTTTTTATTAGCCATTCATATTCTTTACAGTTGAAAGTCAGTTCATTTCCTTTATGCATTTTACTTTTGTTTTCTAACTTTCTCTTTTTTATTTATTTGGAAGCTCTTCTCCGTATATACTAGTGTAAGTCTGTTCTTTGAAGTTAATTTTCAACTCTAAAAGTTGGTGAGGATGTGGAGAAGCTGGAACCCTTAACTTTGTTGGTGGAAGCCTAAGATGGCACAGCCACTTTAGAAACATTTGTAGCAGCTTATTATAAAAACTGAACACATGTCAAGCATATGACATAAAATTATTCTTTTAAGTATTTACCCAGAGAAATGAAAACATATGCCCACACAAAGAATATCCATTACAACTTAATTTATAATACCCCAAACCAGAGACACAGGTGTCTATGAATGGGTGTGCTATGGTCTGAATATTTGTGTCTTTCCAAAATTTATATGTAAAATTCTTGTTTCTCAAGGTGATCATATTAGGAGGTAATTACATGATGCGAGCAGACACCTAATGATTGGGATTCATGCCTGTCTTAGTCCCTTCAGGCTGCTCTAACAAAATACCATAGACTGGGTGGCTTGTAACCAACACACATTTATGTCTCACTTCTCTGGAGGCTGGCAAGTCCAAGATCAAGATGCCAGCAGATTCAGTGCCTGTTGAGAGTCTGTTCCTCACAGATGGCAACTTCCTACTGCATCCTTACAAGGTGGAAGGAGTGAGCAAATTCCCTTGTATCTGTTTTATAAAGGCACTAATCTCATTCGTGAGGGTTCCACTCTCATGATTTATTCAGGTCCCAAACGATCTACATTCTAATATCATAACCTTGAGGGTTAGGATTTTAAGATACGAATTTTGTGGGAACATAAACATTGTAACAACGTCAGCATCCTTGTAAGAGAGGCACAGGAGAACTCCCTTGCCCCTTCTTCCACTATGTGAAGACTCAGTGAGAAGTTGCTGTCAATGAACCAGAAATCAGGCCCTGATCAGAAAACAAATCTGACTGTGCCTTGGTCTTAGACATTCCAGACTTCAGAACTGTAAGAAATAAAATTTTTTATTCATAAAATACCTAGTTTATGGTATTTTATAATAGCACCCCGGAGGGACTAACACAAGGTGAACTGACAAATTTAGGCATTTTATATAATTAAATACTATTTACCAAAAAAACCCTACTGACTCAAACAAAAAGCTAGATTAATATACATCATTATCACAATAGATACACAAAATCATCTGACAAAAATCTAAACCCATTTACAATTTTAAAAACAAAAGCAAAAGCAAAATCTCCCAGTAAACTAGGAATAGAAGTTAATTTTCTCAACTTGATAAAGGACATTTACAAAAAAACAAAACAAAACAAAAAGCAAACAAACAAACAAACAAACAAACAAAAAAACTACAGCTAACAGCAGGCCTTGTTTGAATTTCTCAAGATTGAAGAGATTGGATACACGGGAGGGAGATTCTCTCTTACCTCTCCTACTCAACATTGTGATGGGGCTTTGAGCCAGTATAACAAATGTTAAGAAATGTTATTAAAGGCAGGTGGACTAAAATATAAGAAATAAAAATTGTCTTATTCATAAACAACAATATCTTTCATGTAAGCAGTCTAAAATTATTTACAAATAAGCAATTAGAAATATAAGAGAGTTTAGCAATATTGCAAGATATAAGATTAATATAAAATATAAGTTGGATTTCTATATACAAGTGAAAAAATGTCTCAAGCATTAAAAAAATCCTATCATAATGGCACAAAAAGAATAAAATACTTAGGGACAATTTCAACAAAAATGGTATAGGCCTTGTTCACTGAAAACTATAAAACATTGTTGAGAAAAATTAAAGATCTCTAAATAAATAAAGAGGGAATTATTGAAATAATAAATGTTGGTCCTGTGGCAATTCTACACAAAATAATCTGCAGTTAACAAAATTTCAACAATTCCAACAAAAATGGTATAGGACTTGTTCACTATTAAAGATTATTGAGAAAAATTAAACATCTCTAAATAAAGAGGGAATTATTGAAATAATAAATTTTGGTCATGTGGCAATTCTACACAAAATGATCTGCAGTCAACAAAATATCTATCAAAATCCTCCCAGCCTTATTTTGTAAATTGGCAAGCTGATTATAGGCATGAGCCGCCATGCATTGTCTAGCCATATTTTTAACATGTTGATTCTTTCTAGTTCTTGTTTTCAAGGACTAGAATAGCCATAACAATATAGAAAAAAAAAAAGAAAAATAAAAACAGAAGGACTACCTAATTTCAAGACTTATTAAAACCTACAGTAATTAATAAAGTATATATTGTTATAAAGATAAACATATAAATTAATGGAATAGAATAGAATGTCCAAAAATACACCATCACATATATGGTAAACTGTTTAAAAAATGTGTATACATTTAAAGAGTACAATTACAGTGTTGTCATATGAATACATTGTATAGTCAATTGATCTTTGACAAAAAGTGCTAAA
Source organism: Homo sapiens (assembly GCF_000001405.40). Lineage (NCBI taxonomy): Eukaryota > Metazoa > Chordata > Mammalia > Primates > Hominidae > Homo > Homo sapiens. Next base: position 83,531,918 of record NC_000003.12, on the reverse strand, counting down.
GAATTCTATAGAAAAAGAATCATCTTGTCAACAAATATTGTAGGAACAATTGAATATCTACATGCAAAAACCACGTATGTCATATATACACATGTATACACCTAAAAAAGATGAACTTAGATTCTTACCAGAAGTTATTCCAGAACGACAAAAAACTTCAAAAAACATAACAAATCTCTGTAAAAACTAAAATTATAAAATGGATACAGATAAATAAGGGGCAGGTTTTTCTGACCTTTACATAGGCAGAGATTTCTCATGTATGATACCAGATGTGTGATTTATAAAATATAACATTAAAAAATAAACTTAATCATTAAATATATTTTCACCTATAATATCTTTACCATCAACTTTAAATCAAAAACTGCATTCTCATTTAAAGTCTCAACTAGGGAACGATTGGATCATGTGGTTGGAGGAATTCATTTCTTTAAGGCTATAGGCCTGGCCACTGCTAGTCACTATTCCCTCCCTCCTCACAAAAGGGAACCATTACACTGACTTCTAATACCACAGAGTAGTTTGACAAGGTTTCTATTTTATATAAATGAAATATACAATCACTACTTAGTTTTACTTAGTTTCCTCAATTTATTGCTCTATGAAACTCATCCTTATTATTAAGGTGCATTAATGTGTTATTTTGTTGCCATAAAGTATTTATTATATGAATTTACCATTTATTTGTACATTCTACTGTTGATGAACATTTGGGTTTCATATTTATACTACTGTAAATAATGATGCTGTAATTATTATTATATAAGTGTCTCAGAGCAAATGTGCACCTATTTCTGGTAGTCATATGCCAATGAGTACAGTTGTGTCAATGTTTATAAAATTAATTTTATAAGATACTGTAAAAAGTTTACTAAAATCTGCATAACTAACTCACATTCCACCAGCAGTATATGAGGGCTCCTGATTGTTATTTCAATGTATATTTGTATGAAGACTAACACAATCAGGCATCTTTTCATACGCTCACGGTCCATTTGGATATCTTTCTTTTTGCACATTGTCCCCCTACTTTGTCACTAACTGGTATGAACAGTTCAAAGACTATCAGAGGGTCCCTGGGCCATTTTAAGTAGAAGCCACATTTTAAATAGAAGCATTCCTGGGGATAAGTGACCTCAAATACTAAGCTCTTTTCTCTCGTTTCTTTTCTCTTGGGTATTGGCTCTGTTGTTCTTCACTGTTTTGTAATTTCTCTCATGCTGTCAAAAAAAAGTATTTATAGTTGGCCAGGTTTTCTAATTCTTCTCAGTAGTAATCTGTTATTCCTATTTACCTAGAACTCCTTTAAAAGAAATAGAACACACTGTTCACTTTTTAAGACTGGCAAGTATTTTTGTTATTTCTGGAATCAATTATCTTGTCTAAAACTTTCACTTATCAACTTACATGAAGACGAAAACAATGTCTTGGGGATTTTTTTTTATTTTAACCTCAAGTTTCAGAGTTCTGGGCCTAATGTTATCCTTCTTATATTTAAAAATGTTGTTAATCATTTTTAAATATATAATATTTGTTAATCTCCTTGAGTAAGATAAGATAAATCAGATTTCCCACCTACGAGTGAGAACATGTGGTGTTTGGGGGTAGGGGGGAGGGATAGCATTAGGAAACATGCCTAATGTTAAATGACAAGTTAATGGGTGCGGCACACCAACATGGCACATGTATATATATGTAACAAACCTGCACGTTGTGCATGTGTACCCTAAAACTTAAAGTATATAAAAAAGAGAGCACTTGTAAAATAAATGTATAGAAATTGTTCCATTGTGACATGATAAAAAATGATAAATCGGATTTTACTTTATTAGGATGTTGTTTTCTTCAATATTTACTGTAGGCATTTAGATTCTTTTGGAATAATACTACCACCTAGAGAACTTAGTGATATTAGGAGGCTAAGTTTAAAAAAATGAAATATTGATTACCAATTGAGTAAAATTTTATTTGGTAAATTAACCATGGCAACACATCACATTCTGTATGAAGCAAAAGGTATCAGTCTAAAGAAGTATTGTTACTTATTTTTACACTGAGGTAGTACAGAATTGGTCTCACTACATTATAATCACAGAATATTATTGAACAGAGTAGATTGATTATCCAGAATGATCATGTACGTTGTTCACAAAAAAGACCTCTGAATAATTTCCAGCCATCAAAGAATGATCAAATCCCATTTTTAAGCTAAAGTAGATGACTAAAGCAATAATATAGGCTAGTGGATTAATTTTAATAAGTATTTCATACTTATATAAGATTTTATGCTTCTATAAATATTTCTTATGTGAGATTTTTAAAAAATGCATAAACTATTAAAATGCTTGGTTAATTAATATAATTACTATGGACTACAAAACATTACTTAACTGCTGTTTTGTTACATAAGTTCTCATTTCATTATGCATGGTTTGAGAATTACTTGATTTTATTTTTATTCCATTGTTTTAAATTTATGTCATAAGATTATTCTCTGCACATTGAACACTGTTAAAAAAATCTGTTTTCTAGATGGGTGATGTTTCCATAAATAAAAAGTTGTTTTAACTCTTAAATGATATAGTCCACAGACCATATTATTTAGCATAATATTTTCACCTATTATATCTTTGCCATAAACTATTTTGTAAACTTTATCATTTACTTTATTAGTATAATGTTTTGTTACAGAGGTATATAAACATATTATTTATATACTTTAGCATATTTCATCTATTATGAAGGTAATTCATATTATAATGAAGATTTATATTTTTAAACATAATTGGTATGACTTTTATCTTTGGCAAAAATTCATACAATATTTATTTGTTTTAACACTAAAATACACCTGGCATTTTTGAAGCCTCTGGGCTTTTTTGTGCTCTGAACTCTCCGATGTATGTGACCTTCCGTTAGCTTTTGAAAATATGCTCTCGGCACTCAGTTCACCACCGAGTTCCAATTTGTGATACACAGAAGGAACTCTAGGAGTCCATTTAGATGACAGATAAAAACATGTTCTTTTTTCTTTCACTGAATATCACTTTAAGAACATAATAGGGTGACTGTAGTTGTCACAAAATCCCTGAGTTCTCAAGAATTCTGTGTTCCGCTAAATCGATGTAAAATCAGAAAAGCGTAGATAGCTGATTTTCCCAGCTTACTCAAATGTACCAAGTAAAATTCATACATTACATTTATTCGGTATCAATTTCTAGTTTTCTAAATTGTGCTATTATTGAAATTGTTTGTTTTTAAATAAACTGTAAAATGACCAATCTCTTTTTACTTTTATTTTCACAACATTCTATTGAAATGAAGTCAGTAGCTAAAGATAAGTCATTATCATATCCAATACTAAGTAAGAAATAAACAATATAGGCTGCATTCTACTAAGGCCAGTTACAATTTGAAATAACTTTTGCCATTAAAATATCTTAAATAATCCTCATGCCTTCTATAATTAATACGTTAGTTAAGCCTCTCTTCTCCAGTGTAGGCCACTTTTCAATCACATAGGGCTTAAAAGAGGCTTCTTCTATAAGCAATCACTTTATAGTGTCAGACCTAAGGCATCCTTGTGAATAAAATGCCTATGAGCAACAGCATTGGGAATTACATCTGGTCAATATGCAATCTTTGTAGCACTATGAGAAAGGTTCTTCCTCAGCAGTGAACTGGTGAGGTGAATAATTCAAGTAAGAATTCACATTGCTGGAGGCCAGATTGCTGAAATATTTCACGATTAGAATTATAAGAACACGAGAGATTTTTGGAGAGAGAATAAAGGTCACTTGGTCCATCAAAGCATATCCTTTATAGTACTCCATTTCCCCAAGGATGGCATCTAATTGTTTCTTGAATGACACTCCTGTTTTTTGCCTCAACAACTTTGCCTGCAGGCTCTTCTAAGCATTTATTATTCTCCACATGGAAAGGTACTTTCTGAAATATGTGCTGAATTTATTTTTTAATTTCCATTTATGTCTTCCTGTCCTATAATCTGTGTTGAAATGGAAATAATAATTCGGGGTGACATTATCGGTGGCAGTTAAGACTTTATATGCTTCAAATCCGACAGCTCCAACCCTGTCCTTAATATTATATGCCCAGATTTACAATCTTAACCACCAGACCTGCAAAACAAACAATTCTAGGGGCCCCAGTTATAACAATATTTCCAAAATTTATAGTCTTTCATGTGTATTTTTTTCTGTGCATAATAGACTACCACTCACTGAAAATAACTGAAAAATTAATTAATGTATTGTTTTGTCTCTCCTGGCACTTGCAAATATGCATGAATGTGTATGTATTATGTGTGTATGCACACATACGTATATACATGTATATACATATATGTTTTTGTATGTATATGTGTATTGTATGCATGTATGTATGTGTACAGCATATTAATATATATATATTTTTTCTGATTTTCTCCTGGATATAGAGTAATGAGAAATGCTATTAGAAATTTAGTGCTACCTAAATTGATATTTTATTACATATTTTTAACACAAAGTCAAGTAATGAATTTATTGCATTTGACTAATCACATAGTATAAATTATAATAACCCAAACATCCACACATTTAGAAATATACACACAAAGTACATCATATTTTTCAGTTGTTTGTATAAAATAGTAATAACTATTTTATAGACAAAGAAAGGTTAAGTCTGAAAACTCACACCCTTTTTGCTTTTGTTTTTAGAAATGCTAGGAAGAGGAGATCCTTATTTACCCATTATTCACCTCCCTTCTTCGTATCAACCAAATTTCAGAAAAAGCAGCCTTTTATCATTCTGTTGTAATTATGCTGTTTGGCACATTTATTAAGCGTGTTATAATCACACTTCCATTACCATGATGGTTAGATGTGGAACAAGCAGAAATCCAGGTTGAGCTAATTAGTTAAACCAGCCATCTCCTGACATTACACTGGTAATAGAGGTTGGTTCAGGTTGATCCAATAACATCAAAGTTCAGGATTTATTTTCTCACTTGTGGAAAATAATTATTTTGTTTTTTCTTAGGTGTAAAGGAAGAAGCATGTGGGTTGCTACTGGTGACAGTATATTGCCATCATAAAAGAATTCACGGCACAGCTAATGCAAATGAGAGTGAGGTAGAGACCCTCTCAAAGTGGGAACTGGAGGCCTGAAGCTCAATCTAGCTTACAACTTTTCATTTCTATGACTAGTACAATTTTACATTGTTTATGCCTTTCGGGTTTTGTTAACTGCAAATGAAAGCCTTCAAGCTAATACATGAAATTTTATTTTTAATTTAATTTATACCACTTTTGCTTTTCTGGCCTTTCATATTTGTCTGATTCTGATTGTTACTGGTTGCCTTCATACTATTCAATAAATTATTTTTAAAAGACAACCATAAAATCATTAGAAATGATTAAGACAATTCACGCAGCAGTCTATAGCCAGGCAAAATTCATGCACTTTCTTTTTGAGATAGAGTCTAACTCTGTTGCCCAGGCTGGAGTTCAGTAGCACGATCTTGGCTCACTGCAACCTCCGCCTCCCAGCCTCAAATGATTCTCCTGCCTCAGCCTCCAGAGTAGCTGGGACTACAGGTGCCCATCGCCATGCCCGGCTAATTTTTGTATTTTTAGTAGAGATGGGGTTTCACCATATTGGCCAGGCTGGTCTAAATACATGCACATTTACACATACACACACGCACATACAACCCACACACTAAAAAGGAGGTAGATGGTGAGGGAGTCAGCAAACATGGTCTACTGTCTATAGCAAGCCTGGCAATATGCCTGCCAGCCTAGTGACCTCAACAACAGCTAGTGGAAATATCAAATCAAAACTTGGCTAATTTTTTTTAAATTAGAAAAGATGGTCAGTATCAACCCAGTTACTCAAAATAAGCATTAGCCATGGGACTGATCATCTTTTTAGAACATACTGAAAATGAATAGCCAGTTTTAGACTTCTCAGTTATGTGTTATTTCTAAAAAAAAAAAATAAAAATTATATAGGAGAAGGAAAATAATTATCTTTTTATTATCAGGATCCTTGTCATTAATTTTTATTGTCACAAGTGTGTGGGAAATTTCCTTAAGATCATAAGAAATTATTTAATCACAAAGAAAGAAGAAAGTCTTGACAAGAGACGCCTTTTCCCCTCTTTTTATCACAAGAGCAGCAAGATGTCCTCCGTTTATCATAAACACAGTAAACTTTTTTTTCCCATCTCCCCTTTTGAAACAACTTTTGGAATATGAGGGTCATAAGTTTTAGAAGGAAGACTACGATTCTGAAAATATTTAGAATTTCTAGGTCTATTTTCTAGGTTAGAAAAAGGTTTTGAATCTCTAAAGCTGTTTTTTCAACTGTGAAATTCTTCACAAAATCCTAATTCTAATGGCCAAGTCATTTTTAAAAAATAAAAATATGACAGAAATATATAAATGCCTGTCTTTAGTAATTCAGTCTTCACTGCCGGATTATATTATTTGATGGAAATGAAGATGTATTGCTCTTTAGGTGTTAATTAGATGAACACAAGTATAAATTCTTCATTTACAATAAAATATAAAGATGACTGCTTTAGCATGAGGTTCATGTTCACTATATACCACAGTTATTCTAATAAATGACACGGGATTTCTAAAGCAAATAATTAACTGTAAGTAAATTGCATGTTGGCGTGACACTCCCTCCCACAGAAGCTGGCATATCTCTCGCCCATCTCTTTCTTCTCCCTAGTCTATCCCTTTTCAGCAAACACATTTAACAGCTGTGGATGCAAACAAGGCACATTTGGCAAAAGTAGGAACCAGATGCCAAAGTCTGAATGTATGCTCTATTCAAAGCTTCAGTGCCTGTTGCTAACTCCTCAGTGTCACCCTGCTGGCTCCCTTTTAGATCTGTCTACTGGCACGAAACGGAGGCACATCTGGAGGTATTGTTAAGGTCATGTAGCTGTGGCCTGGACTTGGCTACCTGGTTAGATTACAACCATTTTGAGATGGTTTTCTGTTTCTAAGAATGTGTTGGTTAAACATAATATCACACATACACACAAAATATGTTTGAAAACATTACTAGTGTTCATTGAAAAAAAAAATCTCTAATTATAAGAATCTAAAAATTTTGCCTGAAAGTAAAACACCGGTATCTGAAACAAAACAAACAACCCTTACAAAGGATCTTTGAACAAGTGTAAGGAACAAATTATGTTAGAATCTGCATGATAAATTATTTCAGTTACATAGGCAGATAATTAGCAACTCATCTTAGCTCAGATTCTAATATAATTTATTTGGGAGTTGGTATCAGGAAACAGAAGAGCAAAGCAGAGGGGGATGGGAGGGTCATAAAGCAGGAAAGGTGGGAACACCAACAATAGGGTAGATGACGCAATGAGTACTGGATCCCACAATAATTTCTGGGGACATTGCTGAAATATATTTTTCATAGATTCACATCTTAGAGAGGAGAAAAGGAAGCCATTCCTTTTTATTGCCCAGTGGCCAATAATTGAACCCTGAAATTTCTAAGTTGTGCATGTGAGTGTTGACCAGATTACTATGGTCTTTTCATTCTGTGGAATAAGAGAAGAAAGCAGTGTTTGACCTGACATGGGCCTGTGTCCAGGCTCTGTCAAATTACGCCTGAAAGAAAAGTAGCTAAATTCTGGAATAAAAGGGAAGACTTAAAGATTTGAAGTGGTAAATAATTAGTAACTAACACACAACGACAATTTTTTTAAAAAAAATTCTGTTTGTTCGTTATCTGGAAGAACATAAGAACCAGAAATCACATAAAAACAATTAATTGTTGATAAAACTTCTTATCTAAGGATGTTATTAATATCAAAACAAATTTGGATCACCTTCAGTTACTGAAGACTGTTCATCAAAATGCTTCTTAGCTCCTTACATATATTGTGACATTGATTCTCACAATAACTCTAAATATTTCTATCATTATAATGCTAGTTTGTAGTTGAGGAAACTAAGGTACAGAAAAGTTTAGCAACTTGTTTAGGATCATTCAGGAAGAACGGTCCAGACTAAAATTTGACCTTTCTCTGGGATGATGTAAAAAGTGGAGTGCTTACTCATGGAGGACCTTATTCAACAGGAACCCTAAAAAACTGTTCACCAGCATAGATGAAATGCCTGTTGATTTCAGTGGATAGGCGTAGACTGGAGTTGCTCCGTTCACAAGCAACTCATTAATGCTGGCCATAGATGGCGCTCATACCTCACCTTTCTCACGTTCTCTTTCCTGGCTCTGGTGACCTTCATGTAGTATCTCCTTGATCCGCTCCTCACCTTCCACACATACCCGATCACATGATTATTTTCTTCTGGTTTTCAAAGACATACTTAGAAAATAAAGCATAGCAAAACCAGTCAAACCAAAATATTGAATATTCACATGTCTTTTCACTACCAATTTGACAAATTTACTTCTCCTGAAAGGAACGGTGGACGCTGCTCTCACTGGAAAATAGTTAAAAAAAAAAAAAGAAAGAAAGAAACTAAATAATCAATATTGTGATTTGCCATTATTTTATATGTAGAAGAATAACCAGTCATTACAAGCCTTATCTTCAGAGTTCTATCCACCTTAAGTTTGGAATCTAGAAAAGAACTACAATGAATTAAATATGCATTGGTGTAGTGTAGATAATTTCACTTACCAAGTGAATGTACTATAAATTAAATTAGGGAAACTTTACACTATATAGGCATAAGGAAGAATACTACAGTTATCTTGAGTCTAAGTTAAAGAGAAATTTGTATTTGACAGGCAGAGAGGAAATCAATTTAGGCACTCAAAGAAGAGTGGGGGAGTTGATAGCATTTGAAAAAAAGAAAATTCTAGCAGCTATGCTTGGGGCTGGGGTGAATTAAATAATGAAGTGACTGAAATAAGAGAAACAAGATAGCTGATTTTTGTACACTCATATGTGATTTAATGAGAAATCCAGAAGATTTATCAAATACATAATTGCTAGGATTCATTGACCAAAGAAGTTATAAAATATATAAATGTGTGGTTTTATGTCAAATCTTAGAAAGTCAAGACCTATTTGAAGTTATAAAGGCCATTATCTGGGAGTGAAAATTTCAGCAAAAAAATTTGAATGCACACTGTTTTTATTATATTATTTGAAATTTATGTTTCTATAGTTCAATTATTTTGAATGTGTGACTGAACGAATGAATCAATAAAACTATTAATAAGTAAAAAAATGAATGACCGAGAATACAAGAAAGGGCATTTTTTTAATTATCTAAGCCCAGAATAAAAAAGAAAAAAAATATAAATGGCTGATCACAGCAGTAAAATAAACAGAGCTTGATGTAGAAAAATGTTGATCATATTCCAAGCCTTTAGATACTTTTTTTAATGTTAAGTTAAAGGTCAAAGAAACAGAAAAGAGCAACAGTGAAAGAGACCATATTTAGGTAAAAAAAAAATCATAGGAGAATCAGAGAAGATGGTATCAATATAGAAAGAAATAGTTGCATTGGTGTCCAATTCTGTAGAAAACATCCAAAAATTGTGGGGAAAAAATTACTGGTGCAAAGTAACTTGACATTATAGAATTATCACTGTGCTGAAGAAAGGAGGGGGCAACAGAATGCAAGAGATGAAGCAGGTGCATTGACAAATACAATGGAATGGTATGTCAAATTGATTGCAAGCCTATTTAGGAAAGGGGTTTTACCTGATTAATTTTCAAATCTCACAAAATTGTGGGCATCCTTGGCTAAGGCATATCTTTAATTAAAGCAAAATGTTTTTACTGAAATATTATAAAATGAGCAATATAAATGAAATATATAGTTGTACTTCCGGGAGATAATCATCAGTATTCAGACACTATGAGACAAATAATATATCTCAATAAGACCAATATACTTGCTGGACGTGGTGGTTCACTCCTGTAATCCCAGCATTTTGGGAGGCTGAGGCAGGGGGATCACTTGAGGCCAGGAGTTCAAGACCAGCTTGGACAAGATGACAAAACCCCATTTCTACAAAAAATACAAAAATTAGCAAGGTTGGTGGTGCATGCCTATGATCCCAGCTACTTGGATGGGGGGTAGGGATGGTGGCTGAGGCATGAGAATTGCTTGAACTGGGGAGGCGAAGGTTGCAGTGAGCCAAGATCACACGACTGCTCTCCAGCCTGGGCCACAGAGTGAGACTCTGTCTCAAAAACAAACAAACAAACAAAACCAAATATACTAGAAATATAAGCAATTAATGTGGGACAAGATTATAGAAGTTTTGCCAGGAAACATGCAATATATTTTAATTGTAGGCTGCAAAATTTTAACATCTAGACCAAATGAAGAATGAGCTGTATAATCATGTCTAGTTCACTTTGCTAGGTGACATGACTGCATGCATTTCAATACATTTATCCAGTAAAAGGCTTAACAAACTGTCAGCTATTCTGTGTCGTAGTTGAGTTGAAAAAATGGTTTTTGATATTCTAAGATTTTTTTATTGCTGTTCAGTAAGAACTTAAAACATACTGGGGATTCCTGCACTTTCTGAAAAGTATTAGAAGGTGATAGGTATTATTTTGACACTAGAAGGAGCTAATATAATTTTCTTTTATAAACTTACTTTCATGTTAATGAATAAACTAATAATGATTTGTAATATGTCATCATTTGTACTTTATAACCAAGAAGAAATTATTTGGGGTAAAATGTTACACTTATATCAACTGAGAAGTAATATATGAAAATGTAAAATGCTGTTATATTTAAAAATATGTTCATCAGTTCAAACTTATAATCATTTTAATAAGGTTAAAACTAAAGTTTATTATATATATAAGCATCATACTTAAGAAGCATAGCATTCAGAGAAAGTTTATAATTTTTATTTAAGATTTGAATATTTTAAGAGTTGAGTTGTAACTGTGAAATACTCTAGTTTAAAGTATAAAGTTATTTGAACACAAATATAAAATATAGCCAGGTTTACTGGTTGAAAACTTTTTTTTTTTTTGTATTTTAATGATAAAGTTGTAGTGATTGCAGCAATATTTAGGTAATTTTAAAATTGAAAACTTTTACATTATAAATACTAAATGGTCAAGAACTAAACACGAAGGGATGAAAAAGGAGGAGCAGATGGAGGGGATGTGAAGCCAACATATTTAAGAGCTGAAACCAATTAGAAAGGTATCACTGAAGCTATTCCATGGACCGAAAATGGAGAGCAAGTATAATAAGCAATTGCCATGGCTGATAGCTCCTAAAGCCTATGGAATGTCAAGAAGCAGTAAGGGTGTAATGTTAGCACCTTAATAAGCAATTTATGAGCATTTCAATGCAAGACTGTTTCTGTTTTTGGAACCTAGATTGAGTGCTGGATGAAATGAAAAACAGTTGGGGAATGCCATTAATCTGTGCACTAACCACATGTTCAGATAGCTTCTGTGGGGCTGATAATTGGCAACAGGTTAAAAATGGAAGATCATTACACATTAAGGATTTAGAAAATGCAATGGTGTGTTTCTCGAGGGAAAGGGGAAAATGAACCTGTGGGAAAATCAGAGGCTGGAACAAGGGGCAAATCGTTTTTATACTCTCATTATCAGTTTACTTTGGTAGACACCATATTTGTATTCAAAATTAAAGCATCAAATCTATAGTTGTGAGCCTTATATTTTGAAGGAAAGAAAACATTATTCACCTAATAAAAAACCTTAAAAACACTTTATAAATAATTCTTAATATTTATCAAAATATAAAGAAGTTCACATATTGTTTAACTTTTAAAATATGCATAATGTGATTTGCTTTCAGTTTGTGTCCTGGTGTATTTTTGAGAACAATATGGTATCGTATATACTAATTACAGTTCTAGAATATGTACAGATTGTTTAAGTATTCAATATTTAGAGAAAAGTAAAGTGACAATAAAAATATTCCTCTTTGTTAATTATTTGAAATAACCTTAGCCTATTAAACATAACAGTATTCGCTTTAAGTTCTTCAGGGAAATATTACTCTAGTCATACATTATTCAAATTGGTTGCACATCAGATGCTTTGCAGTGTATTTTTTCCAGCTATTTAAAATAATGTTATGCATTCATATTCATCTACATAGATTGAACATTCATCTATGGAAATAAAACAATGTAATTGAAATTTAAACATCATGACTGAAATAAACTTTGGGGAAAGTTAATTAGGAAAACATGTTCTGTCTCCTTTAACTTAATACATACTAAATCCACAATATGTAACTAAAGATTCTTATGCAGTAGAAAACTTGTCTGTATATGAAGATATAAAAACATTAGGTTAACCTGGACACTCATTTCATATTGACTATGAGAGTAAGTTAATCACAAATAAATGCCAATTTTAAACCTGAAAGCTGTTCAATACTTTAGATTTTAATAAGAAATTGGATATTATTTAGAAAGATTGTAGAATAACATAATCACTATCCTCTTTAAATAAACATTTTATATTTGAATGTCTATGTTTCTGAAACTTGTGTTGAATATTGTGTATGAAGTACAATGTGTTCCTTTCTTCCTTCCTAAATTGTGTAAAATGTAGAAGTGGAATTATACATTGGAATAGATATACAACCTGGAAAATCAGGAATAATATATTCTCTTTATTAATCTCATCACTAGTCAATGCTTTCAAATGAAGAAAAAATGGATACAAACAACAATAGAATTGTATGTATTCTTTCCATTCCCCTATATTTTTTTCCTCATGGAGTATTCATTATGGCTTGGTTTTGTTAACAATTATGGCTTTTCCATCTATGAGAATTTAGCAAGCTTCTCCAGATCTTATCTTTTCCATTAGTTTGTCTAGATTTTTCATAAGTTTACAAAACATAAAGTGATCAACCAATCACACCAGTCTTAAAGGAGCACTTTAAGACAAGCACACCAATCTTAAAGGAGCACTGTTTCGTCACTGGAGATAAATGAGAAATAGAACTTTATTTTTTTTAGTCAAATGCCTCTCAGGTAGAGAGAAACATGTAGCTAGATGTAAAATCTGAGGAGCAACTTAGAGAGCATATGACTCTTCAACAAGGATACTCAAATAACACCACTATTTTAATCAGTTTATTTTAATGCTGTATTTTGATACTTATAAGACTTTTATTTGGCTGAATATGGTATGTAGGTTTGGGGCTATAATTTTTTTTTTTTCAGGACCGTTCTTCTACTGGGAGCTCCCTTTCTCTTCTCTCTTCTTATCTCCAAGGTGCTTGGATTCACTTTCTATAATAAAATAGATATTTAATGAATGCCACTTAGATAGATATAACACATTAAGCTTGCTGGGGTGTGCAGGTATTTTGGATTCTCTCTGAACACTCTCTAAACTGCTATGCATTGAAGACTTATTAAATGTTTTAACCACCTGTCTACCTTTTGTCTGTACAAGCACCTTCAGTTGCCACAAAACCTTCAGACCTCTGGAAGACTCAGCCCTATGTTGATATTTTATAACCAAGCAGTCGGATGAAGCAATTCCTTCTATGAAGGGCCTGGCCATCCTCACCATGTTCAGATGTCCCTCTCCCTCTTTAACACACAACACCTTGGGTTAGGGAAGAAAACAGCAGCTGCCTGTGATTCTTAGTAGTTTCATTCTCTGATTTCCAGGGCCAGTCCTATCATATCTTGTTCTTTTTTTTTTTAGTAACATTTTCATGCTTACCAAAAGCATAAAAAATAGTTGCTTATTCATGCATGCTAATTCTCATTATACTCAACATATTCCCTTGAATTACTGGAGCTAAACACACACTTGACTTTTCCTAGGAAGCTGCATTTTTGTTTTTACAATGATTGTTGAGGGGAGTTACTACTGGTATTTAATGGTCTGGATTCAGAAATAATAGGTATAATTTGACTTTTTAGACGTCTGGGATATTCAAGATATTCATGAAGCCTACCTTATCTTTTACATGTAAATACAAAGACTATTATTTGTTTTCAATACAAAGTTGTTATTTTTCAAACAAAACAAAACAAAAACCTGTGATTTTTTTTACGATTTTAACTACGTAAATCAAGAAAAGACTACACTTTTTAAAGAAATGGCACTTTACCAAAATTGTCATTATGTCGGAAAATTGGTTCACCATTAGCCTCTCGTGATGTCTGAATTGTCAGACTGGCATGATACTAACAGTCTGCGTTTTTACCTCATTCAGGATGATGCTAAGTAGAAATGCAAGCTTCTGACTATATTATTATACCTATATTAAACTCATGTCTGAGTGTTAATATAGTGACATACATGATTAATATGAATTATTTTCCTTTGATTTTCCCATATTATACTTAGAATATTGCATTGACTTTTAAGTGTGTTTTCAAGTTGTTTACATTTTTATGAATTACATTTCACAATATTAAAATAGTGTTATAAACTACTTGTTATAAAATGGGACTTTGGTAATGACATAAATCCTGAGAAATGTTGCCCTGAATTAGTAGTCCCTGTCTTACTCTGTTTGGACCGCTTTAACAAAAGCACCTTAAAATGTGTGGTTTATAAACAACAAAAATGTATGTATCACAGTTCTAGATACTAGAAAGTCCAAGGTAAGAGCACCAAAGTCTTCATGTGATGGAAGGAATGAGGGGGTCCTCTTTTATAATGACACTAATCCCAGTCATTAGGGCTTTGGCCTTGAGACATAATCTCACTTCCCAAAGGTCTCATCTCTTACTTAACATCATCACATTGGAGATTAGGTTTCAACATATAAACTTTGAGGCGACACATTCAATCCACTGTAGTTCTATTTCTGTTACTGATAGCAAATCCGTACAGGTTGGCAGCAACCTCAATTCTTGCTTCCTCAGAAGAAAGAATTCAACGGAGGGGGATAAGGCAGAATAAGAGACCCAGGCAAGTTTTAGAGCAGGAGTGAAAGTTTATTAAAAAGCTTTAGAGCAGCAACAAAGAGAAGAAAGGTACACTTGGAAGAGGGCCAAGGGGGTGACTTGAAGGACAAGTGTGGGGTTTGACATCTTGACTTGGGGTTTTATACATTGGCGTACTTCCAGGGTCTTGCATCCCTTCTCCCCTGATTCTTCCGTGGGGGTGAATTGTCCACATCCCTGTGGCCTGCTAGCACTTCAGAGGGGAGCATGCACAGTGTGTTTACTGGTGTTACGAGCACACTCACTTGAGGCATTCTTCCCTTATCAGCAGAATGTCCTTGGAAGGTCATATTCGCCATTTTGCCTCTTAATGTGCATGCTCGAGCCCACTCACCCAACTCCTGAGATCTTATCAGAAAGCTGCTGATCACCAGTTTCAGGTGTTCCCTATCTACTGGGAGACTACCTTTCCCTGGCACTGGCTGTGACCTATTATTATTTTAGAGAGGCAGTGTGACAAACTGCCTGACCATCACCTAATGGTCACCTGACTTTCCTGGTGGGAGGTGGGGGCCCTCTCCTGCCCTATTAGTGTCTGACAAGCTACCTACTGTAAGACTTCCATTTCTCCTGAACTTCTAAATTATTCCATGGCATTCTGTCTAAGTAAGCTTTCCTTCCGCCACCCTATCACCTTCTTGCTCTAACGCAAATCTAGCTGTCCATGAAGATGCTATTTCTTCTGCAGCACTCTTAAAAGAGGGATTATTAATTTCTTCACATACCATTATATTTCACATATCAAATAGTTCACATACCAAATGAGATAAAGAAGATACAAATAAAAGCCATTGTTTCACATGCTGCTTGCCATTGTCTCTCCTCCTCCCTTTTTAAACTCTAGTCTGTGTGAAGTGAAGGTCATCAGATTTCACTGCATTTCATTCCTTCACGTTGCTATTTACTGACACTCACTGATAAGTTTAGTACCTAGCTTTCCTTTTCTTTCTCCTCTACAACTCTTTTCATTTTCGTTTATGATTTAAACCAACACATAAATGATTCATCCAAACTTCTAAACTCTCAGTTTTTTACTTCTTTGTCTAGGATAATATTCAGACAAAATTATAGGCGCCCTGAACATTTGTTCATTTTATGCCTTGTCAACAGATGTCCAAAATTATTCATCTTAAATATTTTTTGTTTTTTTTATAATGGTACAAAAGTGGAAAAAGGCCAAGTGACCATCAACTTCTAAATGGATAAATAAAATGTTGTATATCCATACACGAAGTACTGATACATGCTAATGTTATCGGGGGTCCTTGCTCCCAGAGCTCCCAAGACGGTGGCAGGCCACTTCCAAAATGGCAGCAAGCTGCTTCCACTTCCAAGATGGTGGCAAGCCTCGTGTTCTCTGAGCTGGGGTTCTTGGCCTCACGGATTCCAAGGAATGGAATCTTGGGCCATGCAGTGAGTGTTGTAGCTCTATTAGAAGCCGTGGGTCACGGAAGAGAACCGTAGAACCCAGTGACTAGTGTTCAGCTCGATTAGGACGAACTGGGCACTTAGCAGTGCAGGAACAATGGCAAGCATTTAGCCCGATTGGGAGTGGCAATGGGCGCCTCACTGGATCGGGAGCACAGCAGACACCCTGCCGCATCCGGAGGGATGGAAGTCAGCGGCAGGTCTGCGACAGGGGCAGCAAACAGCAGTGGTGGACGGCGAGCGAAAGCTCAGCTCGAGCCATAACAAACACAGGCCAAAAGAGAGTGCAGTTGCAAGATTTAATAGACTGACGACAGAGCTCCCACACAAAGGGAGGGGACCCAAAGAGGGTAGCACCCCAATGCCTGGGTTTATATCCTGATCATTGTTCCTCCCGCTGTGCTCTCAGGCAACAGACAATTGGCTATTTCTTTACCTCCTGTTTTTGCCCAATTAGCATTTTAGTAAGCTCTCTCTACTATATGATTGGTCGGGTGTGAGCTAAGTTGCAAACCCCATGTTTAAAGGTGGAAGCGGTCACCTTCCCAGCTAGGCTTAGGGATTCTTAGTTGGCCTAGGAAATCCAGCTAATCCTGTCTCTCACTATTACATGATTGAACTTTGAATGTATCTGTTAGGCCTCTGAGTGCAAGCTAAGCCATCATAACCCCTGTGACTTGCACGTGTACATCCAGATGGCCTGAAGTAACTGAAGAATCTCAAAAGAAGTGAAAATGGCCTGTTCCTGCCTTAACCGATGACATCACCTTGTGAAATTCCTTCTTCTGACTCATCCTGGCTCAAAAGCTCCCTCACTGAGCACCTTGTGACCCCAGCCCCTGCCAGCCAGAGAACAACCTCCTTTGACTGTAATTTTCCACTACCTACCCAAATCCTATAAAATGTCCCCACCCCATCTCCCTTGCTGACTCTCTTTTCTGACTCAGCTCACCTGCACCCAGTCGAAATAAACAGCCTTGTTCACACAAAGCCTGTGAGGTGGTCTCTTCACACGGACGTACATGAAAGTATCACGTTAATTTAAAGAGGCCAGCTGAAAAAGACCACATATTGTATTATTCCATTTATATAGAAAGTTGAGAAAAAGCAAATCTTTAGATATAAAGACTAGATTAGTAGTTGCTTGAGTATGGGGGTAGTTGCCTGAGTATGAGGATAGATTAGTAGTTGCCTGAGTATGGGGGTAGTTGCCTGAATATGGGGATAGATTAGTAGTTGCCTGAGTTTGGGGGAGTATTAGTAGTTTCCTGAGAATGAGGATTACCTGTAAAGGGAACCTTCTAGGAATGTTCTAAAATCAGATGCTGGTGATGATTGCACAAATAGATAAATTTGATATGAATCATAAATTGTACACTTAAAATGGGTGCATTTGTGTTTTGTAAATTATATCGAATGAAACATAAATATTTTACACCAAATTATATTTCTCTGACATATTTTAACTAGCTGCCACAGGGTCAGCAAATGGAAATGCGCCTGCAAAGTCTTTTGTGGGGGAAATTTGCATCTGTTGAGAATCTCCATTAATGCAGCTAGGCCTTCCCTTTCTAGGCTTTTTCTGGATCCAGGGGAGATTAACTTAGAGTCTGACATCTAAAGGGTATGAAAAGAGACATTTACTATCCATCCTTTCTGAGAGCTACTACCTACAAGGCTTCATCTGCATAACAAGGCTACCTTTGCTACCCAAGCCTCTTCTTTACTCCTGCCCCATAACCTGTCCTGGCAGTAAAACCTAATTTACCAATATTACCTGTGTTCGGCCACACTCTTGGCCTGCATTTTTTCTGTAAAGTCAAAATGACATACGAGATTTGTACCTCATAGGAAGCTTGGGTTTTCATTTTAAAGACTCCCATGCATACACATTAAATAAGTTTGTTATACTTTTTCTTGTAATGATCAATCTCCTTCCAGCTGTGATTTTTCAGTGAACGTTTAGGGGGTCAAGGGCCTTGATTTCCCCAATACCTCACCAGAATTATGTACCCCTTCCTCTTTGCCCAACCTTAATCTGATTGTCATTCTCTGTAACTGACTGAAAAATACAGTTAACTCCATTACCCATCTCCCCACTGACGCATTAATCTGCTTTTATATAAAGCTGAATGCTCTTGGAGATATCACACAAAGTGTTAAGTATTTCAAAATCATGATGAAAAATCTCAAATAGTTATCATCACTGCCAATCTTACCACATTTCTTTAGTAAAATCATTTTTTGAATTTCTGTTTTATAACACCTCCTATCTCCAATAAGCCAACTGCCTTCATCACTCTGCTGAAAACCTCATCAACTTCCTGTATCTGAAACCACATATTATGCCTTCATTTCTAGTAGAATGGAGTAATGAGTAGTTTTCCCAATCAAAATAAAGCCTCTCTATTTATTCCTGCAACCCATCCCGTATTACCTGTAAAAGCAAAATATAATGAAACAAAATAAAACACAAGCCTCAATCCTGCCCTTGTATCAGCCTTCTTCTTCATGACCACTTTTTCCTTTCTATTGTATCATTACTATCATCATTGTCATAAAATTATCATTATCATAAAATATTCCTTAGTGATTATCACCCACCGAAAGAAAATGCCATAACTCACATAATCATTCAGTTTCTACCCATTTTCTCTATTTCTCCTCCCACGGCCTCAGAAAGTTGTGCCTTTTCATTGTCTCCAATTCTTTATTTTCTAATTTTTCTTCACTGTACTGTAATGAGGCCACTGGTGCTGTTTAATTCCTCTACCATTAGAAAAAGTAGCTCTTAAGACCAACAGTAACCCATTTCTTGCCGAGATCAGTGGCTGGTTTTCTGTCTTATTACCTAGCTTCTTAGCTGTATTTGAGATTATTGGATAGCTTTTGCTTCAAACTGTGTTTAACTTTCAGGATACCCCATGTTCTTCATGTTCCTTCAATGTCCCTGGGGATCTATCTGACAGCCCTCCAATTCTTCCCCAATTGTCTCCAAATTTTTTGATGTCACAATTTTAAAATTGCAAACTAAATAATGTTTTAAATGTTAACCTTCACAAATAAAACTGCTACATTACTCTTAAAAATGTATCCATTGAAATCTAAATGTAATAAACATTTAATATTTATTGTCATCTTAAGAAAAAAAAGACATCACCAACTTGTTTTTTCCAAGTAAAAAGTAACTAATTGTTTTCCTCCTGAACTTATATTTCCATTCTATTCCCTCAACAAAATTTTATTCTAATCTGATATGTTACTTACTCTTGAAAGCCTTTTATTTGTTTTCCTATTGTAATTCTCAGCCATGAAATATGTAAATAAATTACAAAATCATTTTTGAAAGTTCAGGTTACCATAAGTTTCTTCTGGCAAAATTATTATATAAGAGCTCCTCAAAACAACATACATATTTTACAGACTTTGATATGTAATTGTAAAGCATAAAGAATAGCATTATATTTGAAATGCATTAATCAAGTGAATGCAGCTCTTTAATATATTTGCTCATGGATGCATGAATGAGGTTTATCTATCATAACGTAATATAAGATAAGATTTATTTCTCTGCTTCATTTTTGTAGATTCAAACCCTGGAGACATTTTATTTCACTTAAAAGTTGTCGGGAAATTTAGGGATTTTAAAATAAGATACTCAATTATTTGAATTCCTTTCTGAACTATATGCCAAAAGTCACATTATGACCACCATCAAAAATAATTTCTTTGGCTAGGCTCAGTGGCTCATGCCTATAATCCTAGCCCTTTGAAAGGCTGAGACAGAAGGATTGCTGGAGGCCAAGGGTTCAAGACCAGCCTGGGCAACATAACAAGACCTTGTCTCTACAAGAAATTAAAATGAAAAAATAAGTTATGCAAGAGTGGTGGCAAGGGCCTGTGGTCCATGTCCATGGGAGGCTGAAGTAGGAGGATTCCTTGTGCCTGGGCCGCAGTGAGCTATGGTAGCACCACCACACTCCAGCCTGGGGAACACGGTGAGACCCTGTCTATTAAAAAATTAAGTAAAATCGGTAAATAAATACAATTGTAATCATTTTTGACTAACAATACATTTATGGTTAATTATGTTGAAACAAAAAATGAATAAATGACAACATTTTTGAAACAACAATTTGTTAACCAATTTTACACTTTCTGGAAAATATTAAAGGCAAAGGCTTTACTTAGATTATCAAGTTATTATAAATTGTAACTGCTACCCTTTTATTTGTAGGTATATTTTTAAAGTTGCCATACTCCAAAAGATTATGAAAATTGACATATTGCTAACTTAAAAATACTTTTAATATTATTTTTGATAAAATATTTTAATCTTATGTGCTTTCCATATATTTTTGGCTAAACTCAGAAATGCAGATTTAGCTCTTTCAAGTTCTGGAAAGTGTGGGCCACATAATCTAATTTCAAGAGATAATCAGCCAAACCAGATTTATTTTTGCTCTTTTTTCCCCCTTGTCAGGGTCTAGGTAGAAAAAGTGAGTAGGTCACACATTATATAAAATTGAACGTACATTTCCAGATTATGAAATCTTTGGGTTCCTTTAACGTTATATTGAATAACTGTTTGCTTTTTTATCTTATATCATTAGGAGCCAAAATGACAGCTGAGATTCTTAACTTCCAATTTAACAGAAACTTTCTTATATCCCTGGTGGAAGGATTACTCCCTTGGGTACCAATAAGATGTCTTAAAGCAGCAGAGCCCAGATTTAGGGTCAGACTTCTTCAACCAGCAGATCTTCTTAAACCAGCAGAGTCCAGATTTTGAGGTCAAAGAATCAGCATTTTACAAGTAGTTTTTAGTGTGTAATAGTAATAAATATCAGCTCCACTTCTGTTCCTTGGTTTCTGGACCCATGTATTCTAGCTATGGAAAAAGATTGCATGATATATCATTCAGTGGCTCAGAGCATAGAGGACTGAAAACCTAACTCTTAAGGTTGTGCTCACAGTAGGTACAGCAACTGAATATTGAATAGCTACTGAATAACTTTCAAAGAGAAGTCATTGCTTTGAAAACGGTCCAGTGAAATCACCACGTGGCTAGATGTAAAGGTATCCTGAAGTCCAAGGTTAAGACATGATTTCTAATGCCCAACATGAGCCAATAAAGCTTGTGGAAAGTCTTTCAGCAGTGCTGGTAACAATATCAGATTTGGCAAAGGGAAACCATGTTCTTGAACTCCTGCTTAACTTTTACTCCTAACACCATGGCTGCTTTGCCCATGAATTCATCAATGGGTATTATGGAATGAATTGTTTCCCCCTAAAATTCACATGTTGAAATCCTCACTTCCAGTATCCCACAATGTAACTTTATTTAGAAATAGGGTAGATAAAGAGGCAATTAATGTAAAATAAGTTCACACAGGCAGGCCTTAATCTGATATGACTGGTATAAGAAGAGGAGATTAGGACACAGACAAGCACAGAGGGAAGAGAATGTGAATACAGAGGGAGACGACTGCCATGTACAAGCCAAGGAAAGAGGCCTCAGAGGAAACAAACTCTGCCTACACCTTCATCCTGGACTTCTAGACTCTGGAACATGAGATAATACATTTCTGTTGTTTAAGCCACCCAGGCTTACCTAGCAAACTATGCTAAGGAAAGAGGTAAGAAATATCCATATCTCAAGTCATATTGTGTGTATTGTGTATTTGTGTTTTTGATTACTGAGAACCTTCTCTTCAGGGGGGTACTTTCATATGTCCCATATTTTATACCATGGATATACTTTTAGAGGTCTATCAGTACCAAACCATTGGAACAGGTGGTTTTTGTTTTCATTTGTCTCTAATAAGGAACAGTAATGAGCCAAGATTTATTTGGCATAAAATAAAAGTCTTTGGTCTACATCTTTAGGGAACATTTCTATAATTTTCTCATTCAGATTTTCCATAGTCACTGTTTATCTTGGCTGTATAGATTAAGTATACATTTAATTCATTGCTAGAAAATTGATGACCATTATGACACCAGATTAGACCATTATGAATACCTTTCTATCATGTTACTTATTAGAGTAAATCTACCTTTCTTGCTCTTTTTGTTCAATGCTTCCGATTAACCTCTGCCACTGTGAAAGCCAATTCCAATGGCATCATCTCCCATTTTTATCATTAGTTTATGGAAGAGATCCACTACAGTGATTTTTTAGAAGTGCTTGTTCAATCCTTACCAATATGCCATTCTAGAATTTAATGAAGTATCTTCTTGAATCTTCATTTGAGTTCCTGTATGATATTGTGCATTATATGTAATAAGCCCATGACAATGTTTCTATCATCCTGTTTTTAAACCTCTTTTTCTGTATAACACCAAGACAATGTCACTTCATGGGCATGTGATCTATGTTATTGCACAGGGGCATGCACTCAGAATGCCCCCAAGTTGGGCTGAATATTCTGATGCCCAGTGGGTCAATGCAGCATGCACATAAGCAATGTGTGCAGTGTGCATGTTCTCTGTCCCTTGCTTCCCTCTTTGCTTATGGATTGTGATGCCTCAAGAGAATGAGATTGCAGAGGACACACGGCTCATGGGGTTTCAACAAGACTCAGTGCAAGTGCAAAGTAAGATTGTTACAGGTATGATTAAGCAAGCAGGTGTGCTGACAGCTCTGAGAAGCCATGCTTCCTGTTAAAATTAGAACTAACTTCTAATATAGAAAGAAAGCAATGGCATTCTAAGACATAAGAATAAATGAATAACTCTGTCCTTTTTTTTCTTAATTGTGTTACTTCCCTTTAACACAGAATACTGCATCATCCGTATCCCCAAAGTAGAGAGTGTTGGTAGAAGGTTCAAGTCTCAAGAAATGAAATAAAAGGAATTGATTATTCTTGTGCAGCATTTACACTGTTCTGGTAAAATAAAATGCATACACATGATGAGTTATTAAATGTAAATTTCAATGATTCTGTATGAGTTAAATGCTCTTATATTTGCATTAAAAGCTTGCACTTCACAATATAAGCAATAAAATTCATGCTAATAATTTAAAATTTCAAATAGCAAAAACAAAAACAGTAGTCAAGAGAAAGACCACACAAAAAAGGTAAAAGTTTTATATTTTAGTACCTTTAAAAGCACAGTTTTGAACAAGATTATCATTTCACACTGGTTCTCAAAAATTATGTAGCAGGCCCTGCACCAAAGTATTTCTTGGATCTCAAGTTCAATAGGTTACTTATTTCTTTTGTTAAGTTTTTTATTTTTAATTTTTGTATTTAGTAGTTGTATATATTTATGGGATAAGTGAAATATTTTGGTATAGGCACACAATGTGTAATAATCACATCATGGAAAATTGGTTGTTCATCCCCCAAAAGCATTTATCCTTTGTGTTACAAACAATCCAATTATACTCTTTTAGTTATTTTAAAATGTATAATTAAATTATTATTGACTATAGTCCTCCTGTTGTTCTATCAAATACTAGGTCTTATTCATCCTTTCTATTTTTTTTGTACACATTAATCATCCCCATCTCCCCAAACCCCGCCCCCCCCCCCCACCCAATGCCCCCCACATCCTTCTCAGCCTCTGGTAACCATTGTTTTATTTTCTATCTCCATGAGTTCAATTGTTTTGCTTTTTAGATTCCACAAATAAGTAAGAGCATGCAATGTTTCTCTTTCTGTGCCTGACTTATTTTACTTAACATAATGACCTCCAGTTCCATTCATGTTTTTGCAAATGACAACATATCATTTTTTTATGACTGATGGTACTTCATAGTATATATGCACCACATTATCTTTATCCATTTGTCTGTTGATGGACACAGGTTGCTTCCAAACCTTGTCTATTTTGAATGGTGCTGCAATACATGTGAAAATGCAGATATCTCTTCAATATGCTGAGTTCCTTTCTTTTGCATATATACCCAGAAATGGGATTGCTGAATTATATGGTAGCTCTACTTTTAGAGTTTTGAAGAATCTCCAAACTGTTCTCTACAGTGGTTGTACTAATTAACATTCACTCCAAAAGTATACAATGATTTCCTTTTCTCCGTGTCCTTGACAACATTTGTTATTGCCTGACTTTTGATAAAAATCATTTTATCTCAGGTGAGATGATAAGTTATTGTAGTTTTGATTTGCATTTTTCTGATGAGCACATTTTCATATGCCTGTTTACCATTTTTATGTTTTCTTTTTCTTTCTTTTTTTTTTTTTTTGAGATTGAGTTTCACTATCATCACCCAGGTTGGAGTGCAATGGTGCGATCTTGGCTAACTGCAACCTCCACTCCCTACATTCAAGCGAGTCTCCTTCCTTAGCCACCCAAGTAGCTGGGATTACAGGCTCACACCACCATGCCTGGCTAATTTTTGTATTTTTAGTAGAGACAGGGTTTCACCATGTTGGCCAGGCTGGTCTCAAACTCCTGACCTCAGGTGATCCACCCTCCTCAGAAACCCAAAGTGCTGGGATTACAGGCACGAACCACCGCGCCTGGCCTTATGCTTTCTTTTTATGTTTTCTTTTCTTGTGGAGGCTAGGAGAAATTTGATTTCTGTTCAAATCTTTTGTTCGTTTGTAAATTAGATTATTAGATTTTTTTCCTTTAAAGTTGTTTCAGCTCCTTACGTATTTTGGTTACTAATCCTTTGTCAGGATAGTTTGCAAATATGTTCTCCTAGTAGGGGGTTGTCTCTTTACTTTGTTGATTATTCCTTTTGTTGTGCAGAAGCTTTTTTTTTTTTTTTTTTGAGACAGAGTCTTGCTCTGTCACCCAGGCTGGAGTGCAGTCGCACAATCTTGGCTCATTGAAAGCTTCGCCTCCTGGGTTCACGCCATTCACCTGAATCAGCCTCCCTAGTAGCTGGGACTACAGGCACCGACCACCACGCCCAGCTAATTTTTTTTGTATTTTTTAGTAGAGACAGGGTTTCACCATATTAGCCAGGATGGTCTCAATCTCCTGACCTCGTGATCTGGCTGCCTCAGCTTCCCAAAGTGTTGGGATTACAGATGTGAGTCAACGCGCCTGGCCGTACAGAAGCTTTTCAATTTGATGTGATCCCATTTGTCCTTTTTGTTTTGGTTTCCTGTGCTTATGGGGCGTTACTCAAGATATCTCTACCCAGATCAATGTCCTGGAGAGTTTCACCAAAGTTTTCAGTAGTAATTTCATAGATTGAGGTCTTAAAGTCTTTAATCCATTTTGATTTTATGATTTTATGTGGTGAGAGATAGGGGTCTGGTTTCATTATTCTGCATATGTATATCCAGTTTTCCCAGAACAGTTTATTGAAGAGACTATCTTTTCCCCAATGTATGTTCTTGGCACCTTTGTTGAAAATGAGTTCAGTCTACGTATGCGTTTGTTTCTGGGTTCTCTTTTCTGTTTCATTTGTCTATGTGTCTGTTTTTATGCTAGTACCATGCTGATTTGGTAACTATAGTTCTGCAGTATAATTTGAAATCAGGCTAAGTGATTCTTCCAGTTTTGTTCTTTTTCCCCAGGATAGTTTTGTCTATTCTGGGTCTTTTATGATTCTATATACGTATTTTAATATTGATTTTTCTATTTCTGTGAGAAATGTAATCGGTATCTTGATAGGGATTGGATTGAGTCTGTAGATTGCTTTGGGTAGTATGGACATTTTAAAAATATCAATTCTTCTAATTCATGAATATGAAATTTCTTTTCTTTTTGTGCCCTCTTCAATTTCTTGCATCAATGTTTTGTAGTTTTCATTACAGAGATCTTTCACTTCTTAGTTGATTCCTCAGTATTTCATCTTATTTGTGGCTATTGTAAATCAGATTCCTTTTTTTGTTTTTTGTTCAAATTGTTCACTGTTGGAATATAGAAATACTATTGATTTTGTATCCTGCAACTATACTGAATTTGTTTATTAATTCTAACAGTTTTTCCATTTAGTCTTTAGGTTTTTCGAAATACAAGATTATGTCATCTGCAAACAAGGATAATTTGACTTCCTTTCCAATTTAGATGCCATTTCTTTTTTTTTCTTGCATGACTGCTGTAACTAGGACTTCTAGTACCATGTTTCATAACAGTGGTGAAAGTGGGCAAACTTGTTGTGTTCCAGATCTAAGCGCAAAGGCTCTCAATTTTTTTGTATTCAGTATGCTGTTAGCTGTTGGTCTGCCATAGATGGCTTTTGTTATGCTGAGGTATGCTCTCAATTTTTGTTTTAGTATTTTTTATCATGAAGAGATGTTGAACTTTGTCAAATGCTTTTTCAGCATCAGTTGAAATAGTCATATGTTTTTTGTCCTTCATTCTGTTGATATGACAGTAGGCCACTTATTGAGTCCAGGTTTCAGTCACCTAACAGGCAAATAATTAAAACCACATTTAGCTCGTTGCAAAAGGCTTGTAAACAAGGTTAAGATTCAGCCTGGTTCATATGTTCTTCTTTCCTGGGCTAATAGAGTTAGTATTTATTCCTACATATATTTCCTGAATTTTGCTGATATATTTATACACATGTTTACACACACACACACACACACACACACACACACACAGCTCTTTGTTGCAATTCCTCTGTTCCTGGATTTGGATATGTTTTTTTAATTAGACATTTTAAAAATGGTAAAATCTGGCTCCAGTTCTAAATCTGGAAACTTCATTGCAGTCATTAAATATGTGAAAAACAAAACAAAACAAAAAAAAAACAAAAATGAAAAACTGAACTCAGGTCCTGCGACAACCCAACAGGTCACTTCCACCCGTCAACACTGTTTGCTGGGTAGACATAAGGAGATAACTGAGATAATTAAAAAGCTGGGGGAGGTGCAGATAGTGTGTGGCACCCACAGCCCCTACAATTCTCCAGTGTGGCCAGCCAGTTAGAAAGCCTGATGGAACTTGGGAGATGATGGTGGACTCTCAGGAACTGAATAAAGTAACACCCCATTTGCATGCAACTGTACCATTGATTATGGATTTGATGGACCATTTGGTGACAAAACTAGGAGAGTCCCATTATGTAGTGGACTTGGCCAGTGCATTTTTCTCCATGGACATGGCTCCAGAGAGCCAGGAACAGTTCACCTTCACATAGGATGGGAGGCAATGGACTTTTAAAGTGTTGCTGCAGGGTCGTGTGTGTAGCCCCACCATATGTCATAGTCTAGTTGTCCCAGATTTAGTCACCTGGCAATGTCCGGAAGGGGTCCGCCTATTCCATTGTATAGATAGTATTACATTAACCTCTGATTCTCTTCCAGATTTAGAAGCTTCAGTGCACCTCTTGTGGCAACATTGGGCCATCAATGAATCCAAACTCCAAGGGCCTGGATTATCTGCCAAATTCTTGGGAGTTATCTGGTCAGTTAAGACAAAGGCCATCCCAGAGGCTATCATTGATAAGATTTAGGGATATCCCCGGCCCACCACGGTGAAGCAGCTGCAAACTTCTGTGGGCCTCCTGGAATATTGGCAGCCATTTTTGCCCCATTTAGCTCAAATGATAAAACCGTTGAATTGATTAATAAAGAAGGGAGCTGCCTGAGATTGGGATGATGCGGCTGAGTCCACCTTCCTGGCAGCCAAGGGGGCTGTTCAGCAGGCACAAGCCCTACGAGTAGTTGACCAGGGGCACTTGTTTGAGCTGGGTGTGCATGTGACCACAGATGGTTTGGGTTGGGGCCTGTGGCAGTGCACGGAGAACTTGAGAATGCCAGTAGGCTTTTGGTCCCAACTATGGAAGGGAGCTGAGCTCTGGCAGTCCTTGATAGAGAAACAGCTAACAGTTGCATATGTTGCCCTTCAGGTTTGTGAGAGTGCAACAGGATGGGCTGCAGTCACTTACTTGATAGCAGGATGGGGGCATTCATGGGTAACGACCCCTCCCCAAAGGGATGGTGCAGACATTCACTTTGGCAAAGTGGGGCACCTACTTGAACAAGTGGAGTATGCTAAGTACAAGCTGCTTAGCAGCCAAGTTGGAAGAGGTCTTGAGACCTGTAGTCCTAATGCAAGATAAGGCCATGTGACCTGAGGCACCTCTAGAACCTGAGCCTTTACTGTTTAAGGAAGGGCATCTCCCCATTCCCGGTGGGGCATGGTACACAGATGGGTCTAGCCAAGGTACTGCTCTGGCCTGGACCACTGTTGCAGTCCAACCTGGTACTGACATCATATGGTTTAAAAATGGGTGTGGACAGAGTAGTCAATGGGCTGACTTCAGAGCAGTATGATCTTCAAGGAGGTGATACCTATGGTAATCTGTACCGATAGTTGAGTAGCCTATCAGGGCTTAACCTTGGTGGTTAACTACCTGGAAAATAAATAAGTAGCTAGTCAGCCACCAACCCATTTGGGGCCAAGTCATGTGGCAAGACCTCTGGGAAATGGGTTATCAGAAAGAAGTAACTATATATCATGTGTCATGACATATGCCTTTGCCACTCCTGGCAATGATGAGGCAGACACCTTGGTCAAGGTCCAATGGTTAGAGTTGGCACCTACATGAGATGGGACCTTGTAGCTACACTGAAAACTGGGACATGCAGTGGGTAAACTGATGCAACAGGTCGAGAAGCATTAGGGACTGTCCCTGCCCATGCAAGACATTTGGGAGGCTTGACAGAAATGCCCGGCACGTGCTCAGGCATACCGTAAATGGAGCAGCTGCCCAGCGTTACACAACAAGTAACAATAGGCTGTGTGCCTTTGACTAAA
Source organism: Homo sapiens (assembly GCF_000001405.40). Classification (NCBI taxonomy): domain Eukaryota; kingdom Metazoa; phylum Chordata; class Mammalia; order Primates; family Hominidae; genus Homo; species Homo sapiens. Next base: position 83,502,821 of record NC_000003.12, on the reverse strand, counting down.
TGGCAAGTAGAATACATTAGGCCACTGCCAAAGTCACAAGGGTATATGCATATGCTAACAGCTATGGACATGGCCACATGCCTGTTGTTCGCCCTCCCTTGCAGGGTAGCCCACCAACAGTGCACCATCCAGGCACTGCACACCTATGTGCCCTGTATGGTCACCCACTGGTCACTGTGAGTGACAGGGGAACACATTTCACCAGACAACAGGTACAACAATGGGAACAACAAATGACATAAAGTCGAGATTCCATGTGCCAAACAACCTGCAAGCTGTGGGTATGATTGGGCAATAGAATGGGCTTTTGAAGAATGAGTTACGCTTGCATGTCACACCCCCATCTTTGCAAGACTGGAGTCCCAGTTTTGATCTGATGCTCCAAGCCTTGAATAAATGGCCACAGAAAGGCAGCCTGGCCCTGGTGGAGTCCTTGTTACACTAGGCCACCACCCCCATTGAGTTGCAGATACACACTAAGGATGACCTCCTTCGACCAGGTATGTGGACAAATGGTAACCTGCTGTTGCCTGCCCCAACACCCCTAAGGGCAGGGGAACAGAAAACCTGGCTGTGGGCACGGGCCCTCCAGGCCCCCCACTGCTGGTGGCTGGCCATCAGAGTTCCCTGTGGGGAGGGCCTACAGTATGCCTTGCATGTCATTCCTTGAGTGTTCAATACATGGCTCCTGTAGTTAACTGTAGGGGAATGGCCAGGGAAGGAACGCTCCTCCGGGGGACATATTTACTATCTGTGTGGTGTATTATGAGCTCCCCTGGGACTTTGGCAGGGATACGGAACCCAAAAACCATGGGGAGCTGAAAACGTGTGATATCATTGCCAAGGGGTGCATTGTTATCCAGGGATGAACAGTTAGCCTGAATTTTGCTTGGGGGACGTGATTTACCATGTTAGTACCTGTGCCTGCTCTGTCACTTCAACCGTAGGTTAACATGCTCTAACTGCATTGTGGACTGGGCCCACACCTACACTGAGGTCATCAATATTTTCAACTGTTGTATCTGCACCCCACCTTCCAGCAGCAGCTGTGGATGGCTTGCCTTGGCACATACATTCAGCATTTGCAGAGTGCTGGAAATGGCTGGAGACTTGGGGTCCCATAGCCAATTCCTGGAATGTAACATGCAAGCTCTGGAAAAAAGATGCTTCAAGACCCATGGCACATCTGCCCCCTGGCTGGCTCATAGTGTTTATGTCAGGTGGGGCTGGCTAGTGGGAAAACATATAGTATGCCCAGACCAGGTGCCATAGTGCATAGAGCAACACTGGGGTAACACCACTGTGGGATGAATTCCCATCACGGCCTGTGTAAATGTAACACATGTCACCACACTGAAGGTATGGTGGAACAAGTGTCCCCACCAAGATTGGGCCCCAGTGAATTTTGTGCCCCTTCTTGGGAGTTCATGGGTCTGTGGGGACACAGGGTGACCTTACCTACCAGCAGACAGGACTGTACATTGTATCTTGGGGTGGCCTTACATACTTGCCACTGTTCTCCCACATTGCCCAGACACCCACAAAACTGGAAGGTGGTACACTATCAGTTGTTGCTAGTACAGTGAGCCCTCTGGTGGTTCTACTCCTTGGCAATGACTATCCCTGAAGTGGGTGTCATAACTATAGAAGCACAAGTTACTGCTCTTGTAGATCACACCGCTCGGGCTCTGAATCACACTTGACTGGCCCTCCTCCTGTTAATGGATGAGGTTGATCAGATCAGAAAGGTGGTGTTGCAAAACCAATGGCCTTAGGCATAATAACTGCTGCCCAAGGAGGCTCCTGTGCCCTTTTAGGAACACAATGTTGTACCTTTATCTCTGACAATCAGCAGAACATAACAGCAGCCCTGCAAGGGGTCTCATGGGAGATTAAGGTGGTCGAGAGTCTTATTGACAACCCCCTGCAGAGATGGTGGGCATCCCTAGACTCTGGACTACGCTGAGCCCTATAGTCACAAGTAGCATAGCTGGGATCCTAGTAGTAAGCTCTGCTCTCTGTATAGTTAGTTGTTGTGGGTTATGGAATCAGGGCTCTGCTCTATGGGCATGAGTCGCTGCCTGGATGAGGCCCTCAGCCCAGGGGATGGAGTGTAAGGGAAATGGCTGCACTTTGGTCTGGAGTAAGCTGAGGAGCTCTTTCACCATAACATGACTCAGCAGGTTTGGAGGGCAGACACACAACCCCGCGCATTATGTAACCATGCCATGTGAGGTGCATTAGGTGATCACCCACGTGAGCTTGTGCTTGGCTCAGAGCCACTATTGTCTGTAAAGGTATAATTATCCTGCTAGTGCTGTACATATGGCTCACTCTATGCCCAGAGAAAGAGTAAAGCCACGTGGAAACTGTCTACGATTCCTCGAGTGTTTTTGCAGCTACCTGCCACTCACCCGCCAACTCCTCTTGGACCTCAGAACCTGACAGGCACACATGGAGATGTGTCACCCAGGTCCCCCTTTAAGGGTATTCTGTCCATCTGTAGGAAGTATAGTCAGTAGACAGCCTCTAGCTGTCAATTATTACTTAAGTGTGGACCTCAGCTGCATAGATTTGCTTCTCCTGAGGTCATACTCTTTCTAGGAAGACTTCATGTTATGGCTGAGCCATATGTATAGAGGCCTGGCCATTTTGTCCTGAAAATAGGCAACTCTGAAAGATAATGTTAGCTCCAGAACTCATTGCTGGGTTGGCCGTGGCATTATCAGGCCCATATTATATTCTTCTTCTGCCTAATCCTGCCTCCTCTTCACAGGATTTAATATAAATCCTGGACCTCAAATATTTTAACTTATTTTCTGAAGAACTCAATATGTGATACAGAGTCCTTGATATTTCATTGATAAAAGTTTTGGTCAGTGCAACAGGCAAACTACTTAAACCAGCAGAAGTACAAACTGGGGATCTAGAATGGGTTGTTTAGGAAAACGATAAGAAATGTCAGTTACAGCTTGAGCAGTATCAAGAGAGCTATAGATTATCCCATTAACACTCCTCTTTTGCTGTTTGATTTTTTTTCCTACAATATAAAAAATGTAAACGTGAAATTACTTGTATATCTATTCTGTCACATCATTATTAATGAGAAAGAAAAGCTCAAGAAAGAATTATTGGGTCCACTTGAAAGGTATTTATAATGAATAAGGGGCTATTCACTATGCCTGAGCATGAATTTTTATGGTTTCTAAATATTTAGTTTTATTTTGAAGTACACTTATTAAAATCTATTTTTTAACAAGTTAATGTAATTTGAATGGCTATAGGAACTAGATTTCTAAAACGGTGCCCAAAGTAATTTGTAACACTATAGAAAAGCAGGAGGATATTAAAGGCTTAGAAAATTAACAGAAATCTTGATAGCAGTGTTCTTGTGGAGTATTCTCAAACTAGGTAAGGTATTTCCAACTTTATGCTAAGAAATAATTTCTAATTTTTAAAAAGCTCTGTTTGAAAAGAACAAAAGAGATTTAACATCTGCATTTGTTTCTGAAAAGAAAATACATTTAGTAATTTCTTAGTGCAACACATGTTTGAAAGAAAACATTGATTATCTTTCAAGGATGTTATACTTCAAATGGCATGACCTTTAGCCTGGGAACCTGAAATGATCACTCTTTTGAGCAGAAGGATGTTGATATTATGCTCTCTCACTGGGAGGCATATTAACCAGATTGATTAACCCACATATTCTTTCATTATTTATGCATGTATGTATTCAAGCATTGGTCCAACAATTGTTTGCATATCACTGACTATGATTTGGGCACTGGTGTAGATGTTGGAAATAAATTGGTGAACAAAAATAAACAAAATACAATCATTTTGTTCCTGTTTTAAGAAAAACCTTGTTTTGTTTTGTTAATTTATTAATAAAACAAATATTTTATTATGTGATTCATAGGAAAAACCATCTAATACTGCAATAGAGGAGTTCTGTGTATTCAATGCCTCCTTACCCAAACATTCCAATATAAGTTCCTGATCTTATCACTATGAATCATGAAATTATTTCATACTATAATGATCCAGGAGAATGAAACCAGAAAATATCAGGTGGCAATGAAAATGCATTTGTGTATTGAGTGTGCAGCCAGGACAGTAAATCCAGACACCAATGTTGCCTGGTGGAAGGAAAAAACATCTAAAAGACAAAGGCAGAAAGCAAGAACATGGAAGATGGAGTTTTAATCTCTGTGCTTTGATGTTTAAAATGTTTTTGTATAATCGCCATATCCATGCTGCTTCCCTTTCCTGAATGTGGTCAGAAATGTGACTTACTTCTAACCAATAATATGACAAAAGTAATGAGATACAACTTCTATGATAAAGTTACCTAATATAAGATTTCATCTTGCTAGCAGACTCTTTCTAGTCTCCCTATCTTTACTTATTGTCAAAAAGGCAGCTGCTATGAATTCTACTATTACAAAGATTGAATGCTGCCAACAGTCACAAAATGGGAGGAGCAGATGCTTTCCAAGTCAACCTTGCAGATGAGAAGCAGTTATTGCCAACATCTAGATTGCGGCCTTGTCAGACCTTCTGCAGGAATACAGCTAAGCCATACCTGAACTTGTGACTCTCAGGAAATGTAAGGTAGCGGACTTATAGTATTTTAGTCTGTTAATTGTGTGGTGATATATTACACAGTATAGAAAACTAATACTACATATGTGATGATCTCTGAGTTCTCACAGCATTAACTAAAAAAAAAAAAAAAAAGCAGAGAAAAGAAAGAATACACAAGGCCTATTTCATTCACTGTGATCTGAAATATAAAGAATGAGTCTTAATGAGAATCAAGAAAGTCCTACTCTTGAAGCTAGTGGTATGCCCAGGTCAGCAATATCTCATCAATATAAACCTAATTGTGTCCTTCAAATGCCTAAATGGTCTTCATTTGGTATCTACAAAAAAAAATCAGAAAATTTAATGAAACCCTGCATGGAAACTTCACCCTACTTTCTCAAGCACCTTTTGTGTTTTAGTTCCTCTGCTTTCAAGTGTGATAAAAGAAACCATACTCACCTCTTCATGAGATTTCTCTCTTCTAACATCTGGAATTTGGTTCTCTACACTTTGCCTAATAAACTTTTACTCATTTTTTAATAACTTTATAACCAACCATTCCTTTCTCATAGATACTTTTTGTGATATCTAGGACTGGGGCAAATCCCTTATTTTAACTCTTATTACATCATATATCTCTACGATATCCCTATATGATATTTTGCTCTGTAAAATTTGTGTCTTGTCACGTATCACAGAGGGTGAGAAAGTCAGTGAAGAAGCTTGAAAACAAAAACAGAGGTAAGGGTTTTGAAGAAACTAAGTATCCAAGTATGATTTATTATATTGGCTAAATATTAATTAATTATTAAGCACCATATAATGACAGGGAGACTGCTTTTAAAAAGTGAAAAGTACATCTAAAATCTCTGGGAGATTTAGAAGACATGAACTTACAATTATTTCTGATGGCAATTCAAATACATGAATGTTTCACAATCCATTTAATGTGGCAATCAATATAGGCATGTATCCAGAAAAAAAAGCTCTTATATAAATCATTCAGAATATTTACAGTAGTTTTAACATATGCCAAGAATATTAAACTCAAAAAAATGTAAAACACATATTACAATAGTTTGGTTTGCTTCTAGCACAGTAAACTTGCATCCTTTAAAAGATATCATTTTTAGACAGTTGCAGATAGAATGATTTGATGCAGTATCTTTTCTATGAGATTTGTGTTTTTCTTTTTTTAAAAAGTATTTGAAAATTCATCTCTCCTTCATTTCACAAATATTCTTCATTCATGTACTATTTTCCCATAATTACGTTGTCAAATTTAATTTGGGATACATTTTTTCACAATAGTAGTATACCAACTGTGGAGAGTGATAAGTGTTAACAAAATACATTGACAATTTTGACCCGAGAATACCAACACTGACAAATCCTATTTTTCTGAACAATGTATTCATTTTATAAAACCCATTGACTAGCTACTATTTGCTATCTTTCTATACTAGAAAGAGTAGCTGTTCCAACAGCTGTGCCTTAAATAATTCTCTTTCCTTTTATATTCAGCTTAGTCTGAAGTGTATGGTTCTTCCTGACTTGATCTCAAAATATGCTGAAACAGCAGAAGTCAGCATTTATTGAACGTTTCCTGATCTCATGGTGCAATAAAAGCATTCTTTTTGAGAAGCCCACTGTATGCATTATTTATTTTTATGCTACTTTCCCAGGAAAAATTTAAACATTTAAATATTTACATGTATAACTATAAATGTTTAAGTATCAATTATATATCCTTAACTATATGTATAATTGATAAACTTAAACATTTATAATTTTATATATATTTTCAAAAATGCACAATACTAACACAACAAATGAAAAACAAATTTCGGAAAATTAATATGAAGAGAACATGTACTGAGAAAAAACATGGAGGAAAAATAAGATAAAAATAAAAAAGTAATCTTGAAGAAAAGAATACACATTGTTTTGTTTTTATTCTACAATATGTGTTACTTTAGCCCAAAATTTAGCAGTTTAGCCAAGAGCAACCATATTAATATTCTTAGACAATCTGTAAACTAAAATTCCAAATGATCAGCATTTTGATATAATGTTCCACAATCTTGCCAGAGCTTTCTAATACTTCTGTTTAGATTCATAGTTTCCACATTTAAAATATATTTGTGACATTTTTCAAAGCCTACAATCAGGTTATACATGTATACATGTATACTACTATAGACATATAGTACATATATATGTATACTTCTATATATATAGTACATGTATACTACTATATATAGTAGTAATTAATCATATATATGTATATATGTATATGTATATGATATACACGTATATATATACATAAATATGTAGATATACATATATACATATGTGTAGATATACATATATACATATATATGTAGATATACATATATGTAGATATACATATGTAGATCTACATATGTACGTAGATATGTAGATATACATAGATACGTAGATATGTAGATCTACATATGTACGTAGATATGTAGATATACATAGATACGTAGATATGTAGATATACGTATACACATACATGTAGATATACATATATATCTATATGCATATATATGTACGTATATACATATATACACAGATATGTGTATATACATATACATAGATATGTGTATATACATATATACATATCTGTATATATACACACATATATACATATACATGTATATCATATACATATACAATATACATATATGATAAATTACCACTATATGTATATAGTAGTATACATGGGTACTACTAGATATATATATCTAGATAGGTATATATATATATAGTAGTATATGTGAGATATATATATATCACAGTTTCTTTACCCACTCGTTGATTGATGGGCGTTTGGGTTGGTACCACGATTTTGCAATTACAAATCGTGCCGCTATAAACATGTGTGTGCGAGTGTCTTTTGTATAACGACTTATTTTCCTCCGAGTAGGTACCCCGTAGTGGGATTGCTGGATCAAATGGTAGTTCTACTTTTAGTTATTTAAGGAATCTCCACGCTGTTTTCAATAGTGGTTGTACTAGTTTACATTCCCACCAGCAGTGTAGAAGTGTTCCATGATCACTGCATCCATGCCAACATCTACTGTTTTTTAACTTTTTGATTATGGCCATTCTTGCAGAAGTAAGGTGGTATTGCATTGTGGTTTTGGTTTGCATTTTCCTGATCATTAGTTATGTTGAGCATTTTTTAAATATGTTTCTTGGCCATTTGTATATCTTTATATCCTCTTTTGAGGATTGCCTATTCATGTCCTTAGCCCACATTTTGATGAGATTTTGTTTGTTTATTTTTGCTGATTTGAGTTTGTTGTAGATGCTGGATATTCATCCTTTGTCAGATGTATAGATTGTGAAGACTTTTTCCCACTCTGTGAGTTGTCTGTTGACCCTGCTGACTGTTCCTTTTTCTGTGCAGAAGCTCTTTAGTTTAATTAAGTCCCAGCTATTTATCTTTGTTTTTATTTCATTTGCTTTTGGGTTCTTGGTCATGAAACTCTGCCTAAGCCAATGTCCAGAAGGGTTTTTCCAATGTTATCTTATATTTTTATAGTTTCAGGTCTTAGATTTAAGTCCTTAATCCATCTTGAGTTCATTTTTGTATAAGGTGAGAGATGAGGATCCAGTTTCATTCTCCCACATGTGGCTAGCCAATTATCCCAACACCATTTGTTGAAAATGGTGTACTTTCCCCATTTTATGCTTTTGTTTGCTTTGTTGAAGATCAGTTGGCTGTAAGTATTTGGGTTTATTTCTGGGTTCTCTGTTCTCTTCCATTGGTCCATGTGCCTGTTTTTATACTAGTACCGTGCTGTTTTGGTGACTATGGCCTTATAGTATAATTTGAAATCAGTTAATGTGATGCCTCCAGATTTGTTCTTTTTGCTTAGTTTTGTTTTGGCTATGCAGGACCTTTTTTGGTTCCATATGAATTTAAAAAAATTTTTTTTCTAATTCTGTGAAGAATTGTGGTGGTATTTTGATAGGGATTGTGTTGAATTTGTAGATTGCTTTTGGCAGTATGCTCATTTTCACAATATTTATTCTACCCATTCATGAGCATGGAATGTTTTTCCCTTTGTTTGTGTCATCTATGATTTATTTCAGTAGCGTTTTGTAGTTTTCCATGTAGAAGTCTTTATATTCCTCGCTTAGGTATATACCTAAGTATATTTTATTTTTTTGTAGCTATTGTAAAGGGGTTTGAGTTCTTGATTTGATTCTTCACTTGGTTGCTGTTGGTGTACAGAAGAGCTACTGATTTGAGTACATTAATCTTGTATCCACAAACTTTGCTGAATTATTTTATCAGTTCTAGGAGCTTTCTGGAAGAGTTTTCAGGGTTTTCGAGGTAAACAATCATATTATCAGCAAACAGTGACAGTTTTACTTCCTCTTTAACAATATGAATTCCCTTTATTTCTTTCTCTTTAATAGAGTGCTTTTTTATGTAACCATGCAGATTCTTAATTATTGTGCCAAATTTCTTAGACTACTTATATTGGCAATATGAATTTTTCCCAGAAAATTTGTGTATTTTGCTTTTCAATAACTAACTTCATCTTTAAACAATTTCACATTGAGTTTTGTCAAAACAGTAATCTAGATAGGTATGTAATTTTAATTATTGCTATAGTCAATTTAATTTTAATATTTTATCATTTAATCATTTGAGAGCAAAAAATATATATATAAAGTAAACATTTTTTATTTGAAGTATTAGATTCAACATGATAAAAAAACGTTTTTTTAATAAGCTTATATTTTAGAATACCCATCAAAAGCTGTAAATAATAGTATGTAATGAAGATGGCCTGGGTTTTCATAAACATTCATTAATATAATGTTATTTGATATTGGCTGTAAATAATTTATATAAGAAAAAATTTAGAAAAATGTTGTTACAATCTAAAAGGTGGAACTGAGTCAGATATCTAAGTTTGCCAAGTATTAAAAAGTAGATTACATCACTATTAGAAGAAAATATTGAAACTTTAACTTCAGATAAATGCATGAAAACATTCTGTGTATTCTGTCACTCCTCTTTCATAAACTCTGTCTACAAAGTGGCAATTACCCTCCTGATTAAGAAACCTACCTCCGTGTTCTTCATTCTACACTAAACTTCTTCATTAAAAATCTTGTACTTACAATTATGCCTTCCTTTTTTTTTGCATCATCAATTATCCCCTGCACAATATTATTTTCTCCTTATTTTTCAAAATTTCGAGAATCCAATATCTACTTCTACCACCATAATCATCTGCATATAAGTTGAGCTTATTCTTAGCTCAAATTTATGTCTTTCTTTGACATAAATTATTTTATTTTTCCAATTTTCATCATAATTTAAGTTGATCACTGTTATTCCTTCCATATTTTTAATTCTTTTAATTCTATACCACAATAAATTCTACAAAATTTACAGCTGCATTTAAATTCATTTTTTTTCACTTTTAAACCAATAAACAAAGGGGAAGAATAGCTGAATAGAATATAGAGTTTCCTAAGTTTCCCTGCACAGCAGGGTTTGCAGGTGTGGTAGTGCCCATAAGTGGGGCTCTGCAAGTGGAGGCGAGTGATTGAAATTTGTAATGCAACAATTAAACATTGTACCAGGTTGGTAATTAACAATGTACTCAATAAAAGTTTAATAATGAAGAATATTCAAATCTATAATTTTTCTTATTGTTCAACACTATTCAATGAATTATTGTTTGAGAGTAAAGCAGGGAAGATTTTTTTCATGGGTAGGAGGAAAACAACTGAAAAATAATAATATTCCTTTGCAAAGCTGACTTTTCTGACTAATCTGGCTACATTATTAATAGATTGTTACATAGTTAAATGGCTTTTGTGCATGAGATGGTATGCTCATGATTATTTTTACATTTTTTATTGGTGAATGCATTAATATTATGAGTTAATTTTTTTTGCCAAGTCTAATCATTAGACAAGTTTTTGTAATATAGTTTCCATTATATAGAATGGGGCTATGGTATCTCAGAATTTATTATGGAGTTTAATTTCTGAAACATGAGTCTTTCCCAGAACAGTGCCTGATCTAGTGTGCTGTATTTATGATTTATTGATCTGATCTGTTCCTTTTTTATTCTTTGTTATAATTAGAAGTGTCATCTAGGCTCTCCTAGGGAGTAGAGTTAGCTTTCTTCCAGGTATTGGATTTTTTCATCATTTTTTGAAATAAATATTGGACCCTTTATTGTGTTATTGCATGATTATTGTCACTATTAGCCTCTTTCTACCTGGATAATAATATGTGGCCACCAAGGCCAATGAACACTGCAGGTCTTAGCATATTTTTATTAAAGAGATTGCCAGGTTTACTCATATTTTACACTATTTCTCTTCTCTGCTTGCAAAGACTAAAATATGTAGATATATTTAAGTATGCTTCAGTCATTTAGTGTCTTGAAGTTCTTGTAAGCATACAACAAAATGTCCCAGATACATCTAATTTCATTTATGCCTCAAGTTAGAAAAATATTCTTCAAAGATTAGCTTTAGCAGTATACAAATTCACATGGTACAATTGTTTGTTTAAATTACTGTATTCCTAGTTCATACTAAGAGCAAATTAATGCTTGCCAATTTAAGTAATAATAATAGTCATGGACAAAAAAAATATACACAATGTATTTCTTCTTAGAGTTCTTTTGTATTATGTACTATCTGAATTGTTCTCATTGCCACCTCTGCCTCCCAGGTTCAAACAGTTCTCATGCCTCAGCTTCCCAAATAGTTGGGATTACAGACATGCATCACCACACCTGGCTAATTTTTGCATTTTCAGTAGAGAGAAGATTTCACCATGTTGGCCAGGCTGGTCTCAAACTTCTGACATCAAGTGATCTGCCCACTTTGGCCTCCCAAAGTGCTGAATTACAGGAGTGAACCACCGTGTCTGGCCTCTGAATATTGCTTTTAAAACATATCACATTTAAATCTCAAGACAAGCAAGGAAGCAGGTAGGAAAAGGAGCTCAGGAACTGGTTGAAAAAAATTATCCAAGCTAAATAATGAAGAAACATCACAATATTTATTGAGCAGAGTTTCTGATATTCCTACCACTTTAATAAAAGCTCAAGTTAGAAATTACATGTTTCAATTTTAAATGATCTTTTAAAAATAAATTCAGAAGCCTACATTAGTTGTATATCTTTACAAGATTGGAGAAGCTGATTCTTTTCAGGCTCAAAATCAATTATAGTTTGATATTGGAAGAATGCTAACTTATACCAAATATCTGCATGCGGTTTCCCTTTGTAGGTCTACAGAACACACCCTAACTAAATTATCATCACTTCATCAATGAAATTATTACATTTTCCTGTATATATCTTTTATATTTTTAAAAATATGAACTACTATTGGTAACTTTGGTTAACATAAATACTCATACACACATACAAAATGTTTAAAATTTTATTCATGTGGAGAAGAAAAACTTATACCTAGAAGCAAAAACCAACAAAGAAAAATAAGGAAAGATAAAATGTAACATATTAACTATAACTCTGGGAGAAAAAAAATGGCAAAATAATTAGTTGTGATGAAATATATATCCTATAGGTTGTACCTAATCATTTAACTTAGAACAGTCTTAGAGAAATGGTATCAAGCCAAAGCCAATAAACAAAATAGCAGGGGGAAAGAGAAAGAAAGAACAGGAGGAAGAGAACTGGAACTGACTTTTTGCGTAAAGCAAGAGGAAAGGTGCAGATAATGAACAAGACAGGAAGAAAAAATGAAAAGTAGCTGTGATACTAATAGCAGCAACGATTGTTACTGACTATAGATGGGAAAGAGCAGATACAATGGCAGAAAAGAAGATAGTTCAGGATGATGAGACAATAATCGAACAGTTTCTCAGCCTGAGGATAAGGACACAATACTGCATTCTCAAATCACCCAGAACTCATCCTCTCAATCCGAGGAGGAGAGGGATGAAATAGGCAACAGCAGTTATTGGATCCTTAACATTCAGAAAGGGTACAAGCCTATCCTGGTGGATGGACTTTGTCCAGTGATGCTCAGCCAGGAGATTAGGAATATTTCCCATGCAAATTAACACAATGACCAGCTGATTATTCAATCCTATATTAGATATTATCTCCATCTACCTTAATATTATATTGGCAAATGAAGCATAAGACAAAATGAAGCAAATGTTATATGATTCCATTTAATATTGAAGTGTGTAATATTAAGTATATAAAAAGTTGTAGAAAATATAATACTCAAACTGACCAAATACTAACATTTTGTAATACATCAATCTTTTCTTTTTTAATACACTTTTGATTTAAATGTTGTATTCTTAAAATACATAAGACATAAGAATGCCACTCAATAGAATTGTACAAAGTTGAATAGCACCTTTACCCGCTTCCATCCACTAAACTCCCAAAGATGAGAACTACCCCAACTTATAAAACCCAGGTTAGTTTGAATTGCTTATGAATATTAAATAAATGCAACTATAAAGTAGAGAATTGTCTCTTTTATAAAATATATTATCTATATTTTATAGTTACATTTATTTAATATTCATAAACAATCTATTCAATATTCATAAGCGAAATCTGGCTTGCTTCACTGAACATTATGTTTGAAGTAGTCACCATTGTTATTGAGCATTTCAAGAGTTTAGTCGTTTTCATTGCTGTGTTAAAATTATATTGTCTTGTTTAAATTTCTACAACTGTGGTAAAAATAACTGTATCTGGTACCCCATATATGGTTCAATAAAGGAAAAGCAGAGTTAAAATGTTATCCAGTAGCATATATATAACTCATTTTAAAAATCACTTGTAAGATTCTAGACCTATCCCTTTATATTTCATGTAACCCTTAGGTTCTGAGTCATTGATTGATTTCTGCTTTATTTTTCAACTAAAAACAGTACAAATTTTTACAGTAAGCAAGAAACTATATATTTTTAAAGTAAGAGATAAATAAAATAATTAGTATGCTTTTATGAGTAAAATATTTGTATCTGAAATAGATCCAATGAACCTGTATTTTATGACATTTTAAAAAAATGGTTGCTGTAAAAGAATGAACACAATGGTTGGGGGATTATGGAAGATGGACTACAAATCATGAATTAGCCATGGAAGAGGCTAGGGATTTAGCAATTTAATATTGCTAGAATAGGTAGAATTTAAATGACTATGATGCTTGGTTGATACATCTGAAATTATAAGATAACTAGAAAGCATGAAGCAATCAGGAGGTGGAAGTCATAACGGAATAAATGAAAAAGTGAAGAATGCACATAGCAAAATAATTGAAACTAAAGATGGGAAACTGAGAAAAAACAGTTTCTAAAATTTGAAATTAGCCATGGTATCTAAAGTGGTCTCAAAGGAAGCATACAAACATTTATACATGCACATATACATATGTGCATTCATGGATCTATGCATACACACAGACATATGTACACTAATACACAAATGTAGGGTGGAGTCAAGGTAGTGATTTAATGGAGTAAGGTCTGGAATTAGAATGCGTTTTAACCCCAGCACAGGAATTTTAAGCAAGAGCAGTTCTAACCTCATTCAGCTTAATCTGCTTAGATCATGACAAATAGTCAATACATGATTAAACCTTTTTGCTTCTATTAGTATTATTATTTCATTGTCTATATAATAGAGAATTAGACTAAAGAATTCTTATTCTGTGATTTCAAAATATGAAAATCCTGATATTCATGTCATTAACAATGACAATCTGTTTAAAGGTGATGATTATTTTCATCTGAAAACTACATGGTAGTTAAAAACCTTTGTTACAGCGTTGTAGTCCAGGGACCAGCAGCAGGTGTCAGCAGGGTTGGTTCTTTCTGAGGGCTATGAGAAAAAAAAAAATCTGTTTTGTGCCTCTCACCTTGAGTCTGGTGTCTTGCTGGCAATTTGTGTTGTTCCTTGGCTTGTAGAACATTGCTCTGATCTCTACCTTCGTCTTCAGTGGCATTTTATGAATGCATTTGTCTCAAATTCCCCCCTATGATATGAACACCACTCATATAGGATCAGTGCCCATGCTAATGACCTCATCTTCACTTAACTAATTACATCTGCATCTATTTTCAAATAGGGTCACATTTTTTAGTACTGGGGGTAAGGACTTCAACAAATGAATTTCGGGGAAGGACACAATTCAATATGTAACACGACCAGGATTTAATTCACACTAAGAAGAAAGAGGACCAGTTATTGCCCTTAAAATTTTGAAATTGTTATCAGCGACTGCTAAAGTAAATTGGAATCATGAAAATATTTTTCATGTAAATACCTTTCATTCCTGTTTAAAAATATACAAAGAAAATGATTATTATAAGATCTTGTAAAAACATGTCTCTTAATTTATCCTTAAAATATATTTTTGTCTATGTTTGTAAAAGAAGATATAATCAAGCAAATGCAAAGCGATTGTTACATGATTACTAAAATTTCAGTTTTTTATAATATTTTAGCATATTATTTTAATCTAAAACTTCAAAATTGATTGCTCTAAAATGTCTCTTTCTACACTAAGGATGATAATCAGGACATCCACTTATCTAGCTTATACCTTACTAAATCAAAGTTCACATATTTTGTGAGAGAGAAAATGCCTACTGACTGAAAATGAATAAAGAGTGTAATTATGCACATAGTTTCCCAAGGGATTTGAGAGGCCATATCCACTTCTTCTCTCTGCCCCTCCACCAATGTCTAATCAAAATCTTAATCCATATGAACGCTATTTGTTCAGTATTTCTCCATTCACTCTAGACTTTATGTACTTCAGCATTTTTGTAACCGCTCTCTCTGCATCAGCATTTTACCCCTGAAGTTTTTCCAACATTAGAACTGTATTAACTCTCTAAAATAGAAATATGATTATGTTACCCTCCTGATAAGATTCTGCAAGAGCTTTTGGTGTACCGTATAAGAATGTTGGTGTGACAACAAAATGCCTGCACTGGATCTTGCCTTTAATGCTAATTAGCTGAGTAAACTTTACCTTCAAGAAATATGTTTATATTTACCACATATCAATTCCCTCACCTGTGAAACAGTGATAATTAAACATATTACCTGCTTTATGTCCGTATTGTGGGAAATAAAAACATATAATATGTTTGAAAGCATTAAAGACCTACATAAACGATATCAAAAATTATTGGCCTTATTGAAAACTCCAAATACAAGTTTACTTAAAAAGACATGATCAAAGAATTTTTATTTCTGAGAGCACAAATTGTAACATCAAACCTGGTACTGAGGCCACAAGTTCTCTGTTGACTGAAGATAGTCCCAGTGTCACCTATTTTTCAGCCATAATTATTAATAACACCCATTTTCAATCTCAAAATTTTCCTGTTTGTGTAATAAAGTATATGATGACCTTATTTATATACCCAATTGCTCATCGCAAAAAGGTTTAATATACATCTATACAAGAAATTTAAACTTAAATTTATTAGCTATAGATGATAAATTATAATTTCAAAGTAAGTCTACCTATTCTACCCTTGTCCACCTCCAGATTCAGAAATAATAGTAGCAGCTAAAATTTAAGCAGAACCTGTGATCTCTGTACTCCATATATTGTTTGTCTTTACAGATGCTAACTTAATTCTCACAATAATCCTTTGATAAAGTAGATGCTATTGTTATTTTTATTCTATAGAAACGGACACTGAGAATCAAAATATCTTAGGTTATATACATAGTCATTTGCAAAACCAGGGTTAGATCCCAGGCAGTTTGCTAGTAAGTCCCTGCAGACAATATTCTACTTTATTCTACTCCTTTTGTAAATAACTGACCACTTAATGTCCTCTACCTGAAAGCAGCAACCATAGATGTCAGGGTAGATATTCCCCAGTGACTATGGCTTTGCCAGGCTCTACTTTTTTCTTGACACTAGTTCCAGAGATATATTCCGGTCTCAAGGAACTTCTGTATGGCTTTTCTTTTTTTATGCTAGAAACTGTTCATTTCATTCTTCTTCTAAATTCTAGGCATTATTTACCAAATTCCCTAGCAATATAAATTATAAATTTAACCTAATAGTTTATTAATAAATACCAGTTATCTATGTTTATCTGAAAACAACACATCAGGTATGTGTGTAATTTCTTCCTTGACTGACTTAGGATATTCAAAACCTAATCTCCATTACCAATTAGCATCATTCATTGCTTTTTCCTAAATAAGAAAAGGACTGTAAACTAGTGATCTGATAATAAAATTCAAACTTTATTTACATGACTTCCAAAATAAGGTATGCTTGGTTTCCGCTTGCCTGTTTACCCTCTTTTCCTGTAATTTTTTTCTCCCCATGTCCCCACTAAAATGTCTTTTCAGTTGCTTAATTGTGGTACTCTTTCCCTAGCCACTGAAAGCTGGAACATACTGTTTTCTATGCTTCACCTTCTTGACTGGCTAACTTTGATCTTAATGCTTCAGTTTATCTGTAATTTATTTTGTGAATGCCTTTAGTTCTCTGCTGACTGGCTCCCTTCCATACATAAGCCAAGAGGACTTTATTACATGACTCTCATTTATGATTTCTACTTCCCAGGTACTTAACACTTTGAGTAATTGCCCACTAACTTGTTGTTTTACCTTTTAAAAAGCATGTTATGCTTCATCGGGAAGGAACTATGCCATGCTTACCACTGAAATAACTCTTATTAATATATTAACTAGTGGTCAACAAAGGTATACCTAACTTGATATTTTAATACTCTGGCTGTCATACAGAAATTTACAGCCAATGCCCCATATTCATTATTTGTACATAATATAGTGTAACAATAATCAATGAAAAATAGATATGCAGATAAAATGTAATTATAAAATAACATAAAATATTAATTTAATCTAAAATATCACTATAAAATGATTAATAATGTGCTGCATATAGTCTTTATAAAATGCCAACACTAACATAAAAAGCTGTGATTGCTGCTACTTCCATTTAGCTGAAGAAAGAGAGGATTGTGGAGAAAAAAGATGCTCTAAAGGTCCCTATTTTACTTTATCCCTTTCATGAGCACTTTCTTAACTTAAAACTGTCAGTTTGTTGGTGCTATACTGAAGGCAATCCAAAAAATGGAAATAAGGAAATAAAAAACACATTATTCTCCATCCAGAAAGAGTTAGACAAAAAAGCATAGATTTAAGAACAGCAGGAAATGGCTCAAGAATCTGCCTCTTATGATATCTGTGCTTTTAATCTAGTTTTGATTTTAACCAAAAAGTGCACACTCAGAGAATTGGAGGTGGATAAGAAAAATGAGATTTTTACTTTTGGCCCAAGCTAATTCAAATCAAAAGAATGACAAATTGATTGTGAAAAATGTGTGTGTGAAACATAAACTATAATTTTCTACTTCCAAATTTTATAAAGTTTAAAAGATATTTATTAGATGATTAGTATCAAAGCCATTACATAAAAATAACATCTCATTAATTACTTTGTAATACTTATTAGTAATGAGTTAACGTCAACATTTATAATGATTTTTAATGTTACATGAAAATATCTTCTAATCTCATACGTACAAGAAAGCATAATCTCACACACAGAAAAGCATAATCTTTGGTGGTTAAATCAGTACTTGGACAGGTTTGGAAATTTATCAGGACCTAGAAACCAATAAAATTTAAACTATGAATACTAAATTTATGAATCTAGAGAATATTTTATTATATAGTCAAATCACATAAAACACTAAAGTTTAATTTTTTATAAAAGCTTAATACACATATTTTAGGAGATGCATTTTTAACATTTAAATTTTATTCAGGATCAAAACACTTTTGCTTAAGTAGAATCTGAAAAATATATGAATTTGTACAGAAAAAGAAAATTCAATCAATGGATGAATGAATAAGGAAAATATGGTATGTATACATAATGGGGTCATTATTCAGCCACAAAAAACAACCAAATCTTGTCATCTGCAACTATATATGGAATTGGAGGACTTTATGTTAAGGGAAATAAACTGGGCATAGAAAGACATTGCGTCTCCTCTCTTACATGTGGGAGCCAAAAATTTGGATCTCATGAAGATAGAAAGTAGGGTGGTCGTTACCAGAGGCTAAGCAGGGTAAGGAGGAGAGGGGGATGAAAAGAAGCTGATTAATGGGTACAGGTGTATAGCTTGCTAGAAGAAATAAGACCTAATGCTGTTTACAATAAAGTATTTTATATTGCAAAATAGCTAGAGAGGAAGAATTAGAATGGTTCTAGCATAATGAAAAGAGAAATATTTAAAGTGATGAATATCTCAAGTACACTGATTTGATCGTTACAGATTATATTAATGTATTAAATTATCACATGTACCCTGAGGCTGTGTAAATATGCATCCATTTAAAAAGCAATCTAGACAAAACAAAAAAGTAAGTTGTACATTTACTTTCTAAAAAATATTAGATAATAAAATTTATAGTCATATGGTTAAATTTTGGCCATTATTAAAAACGGTAGCAAATTTTATCATGCTTATACAACCAATTTAAATAAATTATGAAAAATGTACTTTCCTCTACATTTGTGGATACCTGTACCACATTATGTAGTGTATTAGCCTGTTTTCATACTACTGATAAAGACGTACCCGAGACTTGGCAATTTATAAAAGAAAGAAGTTTAATTGGACTTACAGTTCAACATTACAGGGGAGGCCTCACAATCACAGTGGAAGGTGAAGAGGAGCAAGTTACATCTTATGTGGATGGCAGCAGGCAAAAGACAGCTTGTGCAGAGAAACTCCCATTTTTTTTTAAACCATCAGATCTAGTGAGACCCATTCGCTATCATGAGAACAGCATGAGAAAGACCCACTCCCATGATTCAGTCATCTCCCACCAAGATCCTCCCACAAAATGTAGGAATTATGGGAGCTAAAAGATGAGATTTGGGTGGGGACACAGAGCAAAACCATATCATGTAGCTACCAGTAATCATATGAATGTTTTTATTTCAATTTCAGAGACATTTTGTGGGTCTTGCAATCAGGAATATCAATATCTCAGAGTGTTGACAGCTGTTGTGAGAACTTGGTTCTTGACTTCTTAGTTTAAAATAATTTAAACAAGAGATACACAGCAAAGGAAATGCAGCACAGAGCAATTTATTGCAAAGGAAAAAGAATATTTTGAAAGTTAAGAACGGAATAGACAGTGCACCCTAAGAGAGAGTGAATTTAGTGTGGTCTGTTCGTTAGAATGAGACAGGAAAAACTAACACGAGGGAGACTCCCTTTATGGGAGTCCTACATGATTATTCATGAGGGTGTGGGGAGAGTTGTTATAGTAGGGATGTTCTGGGTGGTCCTCTGGGCACACATGTGAAGTAACTGTGGATGCTTGTTCATATATCACATTTCTCATTAGCATCTTAAATCTCCACCTAAGGTTGTGATTTTACTATTATAATGAGCAAAGAGTCAGTCTGAACACAGGTAAAATCAAAATATACATGCTCTCTATAGGGAAAATTCTCTATTGGAGATAGCTTTGCTTGAATAACCTTGACGACAGTGCAAACAGTGGGGCTAATTGTGTTGACTGTACAGTCCCAAGGCTGTCATGTCCCAAGGACATAGTTACTCCCTTGACAGCCTATCCTACCTCAAGAGTATTGTGACTTTCACTGTCTGAATTAGTGACAAATTTCAAACACAGAAATTTCATCACAGAAATAATGTATTTTACATTTTTATAAGTAGTAGAATATATTAGATAATTTTTAGTAACTTAAAAACATAACTAAATTTGTTCTACTCTGGGACAAATATGCAATGGCTTTTTTTTGGAAAGTAACTATGATGGAATAAAGTATATAGAGTAAAATAAAATATGTTTATGCTTTAAGTTTGGGGTTGAGTGGAGGCATGAAGAGAGGATGTCTTCATACAACTTAATAAATCTTTTGACTGATGGAAATTTTGCCTATTTGTTCTTTTCTCGAAATGGCTAGTTAAAAAAAAAAAAGTGAAAATGGTTATGGTAATTTTGTGTGGGACCAGCCCGAGGCAAGTTTGCAGTGCTTCCTTCTCAGTTATTGCTTTTCAGATCTTGAAAGTAGCCCAGGAAAAATACTGAACTTAGAGGGGACCAACAGAAATAATTAATTTTTAAATTTACTTTTCAGATATCATCTGCATATATGATCATCAAGTATTCTGGCTGTTATAAGTAATGGTTAACTTGGGATAACAAGGCAATATTTTTTGAATGCCCTTCAGTTTTGTGATTATATCAATACAGATGTTTCTTTGAACTATTTTTCCCTTGCATCTATTGTCTTTGTGCAATTCCACATCATTCACAATACGTAAGCACTTTGAAAAATAGATCATAAGAATGGATTAAAAGAATAATATTTATCCCTAAAGAGGACCTGGGATTCTAACTTTTCTCCGGTAAGATAACTTCTATCAATCAATTTGATGTATTTATTTATTTAGCAATAATTTGATTAAACATGGCAAAGGATACTTTCTTTAAGTAAGTGTGTTTTTAACAATATACTATATGCTGTCTTAGTCTGTTCTGGCCGCTATAACAAAATACTGTAGATCAGGTAATACATACAACAGAAATGTATTGCTCACAGTCCTGGAGGCTGGGAAGTCCAAGATCAAGAACCCAGCAGATTTCATGTCTGGTGAGGATCTGTACCTCATGGATGGTGTCTTCTATGTACCTCACATGGTAGAAGAGGTGAATAAGCTCCCTCAGGCATTTTTCTTTTTGAGATGGAGTCTTGCTCTGTCGCCCACGCTGTAGTACAGTGGCACAATCTCTGCCAACTGCAACCTCCGCCTCCTGGGTTCAAACAATTCTCCTGCCTCAGCCTCCCTAGTATCTGACATTACAGGTGCCTGTCACCATTCCCAGCTAATTTTTGTATTTTTAGTAGAGACATGGTTTCTCCATGCTGTCCAGGCTGGTCTCAAACTCCTGACCTCAAGTGATCTGCCTGCCTTGGCTTCCCAAGGTGCTGGGATTACAGGCATGAGCCACTGCACCCAGCTCAGGTCTCTCTTATAAGTCCACTAATCCCATTTATAAAGATAGTGCACTCAGTATCTAATCAAATCTTAAAGCATCACGTCTTAATAGCATTGCTTTAGAGGTTAGGTTTAAACAGAAGAATTTTGGAGGGACACAAATATTCAGACCATATCTTATGTTTATTACATTTTTTTCTAAACTTGTTTGCTTAATAAATTAATGCAGACAGTTACATTATATTTAAGTATATTAAAATTGTCCATTTTGTATATGTGTGTAATCACATGATATAATACTTATATATAACTAATATAATTTATATTACTATTATATGTAAAATAGTTAATGTATCATATATGTATATTTTTAAAATTATATACTGTATACAAAATTGAGATACACAAATACATATTTGGGGGAATATATACATTTTTTCTTTTGTAATTGACTAAAATTTACAGTATGCCATGAAGATACAAAGTTGAATGTCATTCTTTACATATATGATTCCTTACATTTCAAAAATTTATTAAAAGTAACTCTCATTAAATTTTATGTAAACCTACACAGTTATTGGTTTCTAATATTATTATACAATAAAGAAACAAGTGCTCCTTGGAGAAAGGACTAATTCTACTGAAACAAGAAATATACATGATGAATCTGGAACATCTAGTAGTGCAGAAAGTAAGAAAGTGCTGAAAATAAAAAAATGAATAACCCCTGATGAGCAGGTTATGTCAAAGGGACACAGAAGCTTATGTAAAGATTTCTAATAACCACAGCTAAAACACTGAGCAACAATGTAAATAATTTTGAATTAGATGGCAATGTGTAAAGAAAAAAAACCCATGAATTTACACTGATATAAATATATTATTAAATAAATAAACAAATGGTAAGAATAAATACATATGCAAAATTCCAAGTAATTTACATGGATACTCTGCCTTTAAGGAGGTGAATAATAACTCCTCACTCCAGAAGAGTGAGCTGCATATAATGACTTTCTTCCAAAGCATGGGTAAATGAAGCATGAAAAATTTGGGGAAGTCACTTTACATTGGAGAAAACTGACAAACACTACCACAGCCACATGATTAAGGTTAACATAAACAAAGATTAGTCATGTTGATATATACACCCCTGATATGATGTGATGGGCATCCCACTCTGTGGTCTTCCTTCCCTAAATCCATAAGCTTCATCTAGTCATGAGAAAAATATCAGACAAATTCCATTTGAGGATTATCTACAAATGCCTGACTGGTAACCGTCAAAACTGTTAGGGTCATCAAAAAGGAAAGACTCTGAGAAACTTTCACAGCTAAGGAGACAGTTTTACTATATGTAATGTGTGTCCTGGATGGGATTCTGGAAGAGAAAAGGATAGGTTAAAAAAAATGAGTAAAGTATGAATGTTAGTAAATAATCACGTATCCATATTGGTTCATTAATTGTATCACACTAATGTGTGATATTAATGACATACTATACTAATGTATAATAATAAGACATTAGGTGTGGCATATATTAGAAACTTTGCACTACCTTTGCAAAATTTCTGTAAACTTAAAATTATTCTACAATAAAAATTTTATTTAAAGTATTATATAAATTGCTTAAAATCCAAAAGGCAACTAATAATTATTCACTAACCTTTATCAATTTATTTCACTCTTATTAGTGTTCTCTAAATGGGTTAAAATTATGATTATACTGAGGTTCAGGGATATTATGTAAAGGGCAATAAAACCATATAGTTGAGTCAGAATTCAGATCCAAGTTTCTCTGTCCTCTTAACCATTAAACCAAACTGTGTCTCCTGCGAGAATTATAAAACACTTGGAGTTTTTCAAAACTGAATATAAAAATGGATGCATGAATATTTTCCTTTAAAAAGCACTACCTTAACTAACAAAACTTCTTAACTAACAAAACTTCTTAACTAACAAAGCTTCCCATTTTATTTCCCATAGCATGTATAAAGTAGACTACATTTTTTAAGTTAATTATCAGTAATATGGTTTACTCTATACTATTTTTAATATAAAATTTTAAAATGCAAAGGTAATTGATAAGTCCTATTAGAAAAACAAAAATGACTTAGTTCATCAAGATAAAGTCAATCAACGTTGTGATGTAGAAGAATGGCAATATTAAATTTCTAAGACCTTAATTTTCAGTAATGTTTTAAAATGGGACACGTGTTTTTGAAAGTTTTTTTAAATACACTATAGATAAGGTTCCACACCTGATTGTGATAAAAAGTTAAAGGAAAATTCTTATGGCTATTTATTAGCTTAAAGAAATTTTTATATTTTTTAGAACAAGTAAAAAATAAATCCTAATAAATATTTACTGGAAAAACTCATTATTAAATGCTTAAACTGAGATGTACTCTTCTATCAGACTTCAAGTTTATTGATAAGCACATATAGCTCAATATAGAATGGTCAACCTTTTTTCGGTAATTCTTATGCTGTTTTTGATGACTGAAACTTCATTGATGCATTCCTAACCAATATAATTTTTAACCTTTTTTTTTGTATTTAAACTCAAGTACTTC
Source organism: Homo sapiens (assembly GCF_000001405.40). Classification (NCBI taxonomy): domain Eukaryota; kingdom Metazoa; phylum Chordata; class Mammalia; order Primates; family Hominidae; genus Homo; species Homo sapiens. The sequence continues at coordinate 83,478,584 of NC_000003.12, read as the reverse complement.
CAAAGTAAGAATAGCAGCCACTGACAAAAAATTAAATTATTTCAACATTAGTTAATTATAGATTATATATGCCCCATCACCCACCTCACTTTTCTCCAAAATAATGTGTAAAGAAATGATTTACATTACTACCTCCTAGCTCAGTGGTAACAAAAGTGAATGGTGTCATTGTGAGAATATACTTAAGCAAATTTTCTCTAGAGAAGTAACTGTGCATCACTATTAAAGCAGAGGGGCACAGCCCCTGGGGTTACACTCATGTCTATGAATCCAATCTACCTCTGAGCCGTGAGAGTCAATTGCACAGATATCCATTGTCACAATTTGACTTGAAAGCCAAAATAAAAATAAAAATAAAAATAAATAAAGAAAAAGAGAGAACAATTTTCATCCATTTTACTATTTCACTTTATTTTCTGTCTCTTCCTCTCTTTTTAACACTTTCCTTCCCTTTCTTCCCTTCTTCTCCTTTGCTTGGTTTTTTTTTTGGAAAAAAAAATCTATTTTTTTCTTTGTCTTTTTTTTTTTCTTCTCCCTCCTTCATTTATCTTTTTCCTGACATTACTCTTTGGCATATGAGTGACCAAACATTTCCTCTTGCTGTTTTATTTGGTCAGAAATCTGGTTATGAGCTACATTTTTTTTTTTTTTTTTTTTTTTTGAGATGGACTCTCGCTCTGTTGCCCAGACTGGAGTGCAGTGGCACAATCTCGAGTCTCCTGCGTCAGCCTCCCGAGCAGCTGGGATTACACGCGCCCGCCAGCCATCACGCCGGGCTAATTTTTGTATTTTTACTAGGAGCAGGGTTCACCATGTTGGCCTGGCTGGTCTCAAACTCCTGACCTCAAGTGGTCCACCGGTTTCTGCCTCCCAAAGTGCTGGGATTCCATGAGCCACCGCACCCGGCTATGAGCTACTTTAACAAGATAATCTACTAGATGCTATATGGAAAATGAAAAAATAAAAAAAAATATTACATCAAAACACGCACACACACAGTCTCTGCCTCTAAAATATCTTTTCTTTTGTTTTTCTCATGTGTAGTTCCACACTGCAAAAAGACCAAAATATCAGTGATTTTGGGTCATGAAGTATACCTAGCCTATATTACTTTCTCTCACCTTCTAGTCTCTAAACTGATTCTTAGAAGACAACATTTTGAAAGCACTCCAAAAAGCACAAAAGATGGTATTGTTGACATTCTAAGCTTTGACACCCAGAGTGCTTATTTTTTATTCATAGGTTACAGATATTAAATATAAATATATATTGAATAAACTATGGCACATTTATTTCAATCAATCAGTTAATATGGTGATACACATACTTCCTGATAATACTTTATTGTTGTCATATACTAAAAAACACATTGTGTCTATAATATAGTGCTGCGTTTCTAGTAAGTGTGTTGAGTTTCAGGTAATATACTCTGAAAGAACTATTTTACAAATCTCTTTCTTTGAAAAAGATACTAGTTACAATCCAAGGGGTGTTTTCAGTGAAGAAATGATAAAGCAAATGTGTTTTTCTACCTGCCTTGGAATAGATTTGTTTTTGTTGTTTGATTGATTTCAATATTGGTCCTTATACTCCTCAAACAAAATTTTAAGAGAGAGAGAGAGAAACAGAGAGAAAGAGGGAATAAGCACAAATATAAATAATTGTTGTGTAAAAACATTGATTTAATTCATCCAGTAGACATTTTTCCAAATAAAAGTGGAAAATCAAATACCTTCTATAGTTCTTTTCAGAAATTTCTTCTGCAAGGACATTGAAATAAAAATACTCGCAATGGTGAGATTAAGTTGAAGGTAGACCTTTATAAGAATCAAGAGATGCAAACTATTTTAAGAAGGAAATAGTGTGGTATACCCTATTTAGCACAGTTTTAGAGAGAATTGCTTTTCTACCAGTAGACTTCTTTTCTTTTTTAATATTTTGAATATATTTTTATTTTTAATCAATGCAATAATATAAATATTTTTTAGGTAACAAAATATGCTTGGGATATCAAGCATCAGTATTAAAGGAAAGTAGCTTACTGAGTAATTAGATCTTTGTTCTAATTCTGAATGAAGTCTTATTAGTTACTAAAATAATAGCAAAGTGTGTTTTTTTATTTTTTATTTTTTATTATTATTATACTATAAGTTTTAGGGTACGTGTGCACAACGTGCAGGTTTGTTACATATGTATACATGTGCCTTGTTGGTGTAGTTGCACCCATTAACTCGTCATTTAGCATTAGGTATGTCTCCTAATGCTATCCCTCCCCCATCCCCCCACCCCACAACAGGCCCCACTGTGTGATGTTCCCCTTCCTGTGTCCATGTGTTCTCATTGTTCAATTCCTACCTATGAGTGAGAACATGTGGTGTTTGGTTTTTTTGTCCTTGCGATAGTTTGCTGAGAATGATGGTTTCCAGCTTCATCCATGTCCCTACAAAGGACATGAACTCATTCCTTTTTTATGGCTGCATAGTATTCCATTGGTGTATATGTGCCACATTTTCTTAATCCAGTCTATCATTGTTGGACATTTGGCTTGGTTCCAAGTCTTTGCTATTGTGAATAGTGCCGCAATAAGCATAAGTGTGCACGTGTCTTTATAGCTGCATGATTTATAATCCTTTGGGTATATACCCAGTAATGGGATGGCTGGGTCAAATGGTATTTCTAGTTCTAGATCCCTGAGGAATCGCCACACTGTCTTCCACAATGGTTGAACTAGGTTACAGTCCCACCAACAGTGTAAAAGTCTTCCTATTTCTCCACATCCTCTCCAGCACCTGTTGTTTCCTGACTTTTTAATGAATGCCATTCTAACTGGTGTGAGATGGTATCTCTCTGATGGCCAGTGATGATGAGCATTTTTTCATTTGTTTTTTGGCTGCATAAATGTCTTCTTTTGAGAAGTGTCTGTTCATATCCTTCGCCCACTTTTTGATGGGGTTGTTTGTTTTTTTCTTGTAAATTTGTTTGAGTTCATTGTAGATTCTGGATATTAGCCCACTGTCAGATGAGTAGGTTGTAAATATGTTCTCCCATTCTGTAAGTTGCCTGTTCACTCTGATGGTGGTTTCTTTTGCTGTGCAGAAGCTCTTGAGTTTAATTAGATCCCATTTGTCAATTTTGTCTTTTGTTGCCATTGCTTTTGGTGTTTTAGACATGAAGTCCTTGCCCATGCCTATGTCCTGAATGGTATTGCCTAAGTTTTCTTCCAGGGTTTTTATGGTTTTAGGTCTAACATTTAAGTCTTTAATCCATCTTGAATTAATTTTTGTATAAGGTGTAAGGAAGGGATCCAGTTTCAGCTTTCTATATATGGCTAGCCAGTCTTCCCAGCACCATTTATTAAATAGGGAATCCTTTCCCCATTGCTTGTTTTTGTCAGGTTTGTCAAAGATCAGATAGTTGTAGATATGCGGCATTATTTCTGAGGGCTCTGTTCTGTTCCATTGGTCTACATCTCTGTTTCGGTACCAGTACCATGCTGTTTTGGTTACTGTAGTCTTGTAGTATAGTTTGAAGTCTGGTAGCATGATGCCTCCAGCTTTGTTCTTTTGGCTTAGGATTGACTTGGTGATGCGGGCTCTTTTTTGGTTCCATATGAACTTTAAAGTAGTTTTTTCCAATTCTGTGAAGAAAGTCATTGGTAGCTTGATGGGGATGGCATTGAATTTATAAATTACCTTGCGAAGTATGGCCATTTTCACGATATTGATTCTTCCTACCCATGAGCATGTAATGTTCTTCCATTTGTTTTTATCCTCTTTTATTTCCTTGAGCAGTGGTTTGTAGTTCTTCTTGAAGAGTTCCTTCACATCTCTTGTAAGTTGGATTCCTAGGTATTTTATTCTCTTTGAAGCAATTGTGAATGGGAGTTCACTCATGATTTGGCTCTCTGTTTGTCTGTTATTGGTGTATAAGAATGCTTGTGATTTTTGCACATTGATTTTGTATCCTGAGACTTTGCTGAATTTGCTTATCAGCTTGAGGAGATTTTGGGCTGAGATGATGGGGTTTTCTAGATATACAATCATGTCATCTGCAAACAGGGACAATTTGACTTCCTCTTTTCCTAATTGAATATCCTTTATTTCCTTCTCCTGCCTGATTGCCCTGTCCAGAAAAAAGAGCTAAGCACTGTTGCCCCAGAGTTTAAAGTGACTGTGGGAATATCCAAAGGACTGCTCACTCACGAGCAGAAGCAGAGAGTGAATATTGTGTGTTTGTGGTGGTGGTTAACTTTCATTAATATAATCCAACCAGTCACTAAACAAAAAAGCAAGTAGCAATAAGAAGACCAGGAGGCTGGGAGGAGGGAGAATGGAATTCTCCCTTGCCTCTTCATAGCTTTCAGTGGTTGCTGGAAATCTTCAGCATTTCTTGGTTTGTGGCAGCCTAGCTCTAATTTATGCCTTCATTATGACATGCCCACTTACCCTCCATGTGTATTTGTGTCCAAATTTTTCTCTTTTTTTAAGAGACCAGTCATATTGAATTTAGGACCACCCAAATCCTGTATGACTTCATATTAATTTGATTCTATCTGAAAAGACTCTATATCCCAATGAGGGCATATTCACAGATTGCAGGTGGACATGAATTTTTGAAGGACACTATTAAAAACTTTTATAATTAAACATACGAGTAAATTTTCATGGCCTTGGATTGTCAGTGAATTCTTAACTATTGCACCTAAAGAATAAGCAACAAAAGAGAAAATAGATAAATTGGATTTATCAAAATTAAAAACCTTTATGCTTCAAAAAGATACCATCATCAAAGTCAAACAACCACAGGATTGGAGAATATATCTGAAAACTATAGGTCTTAGAAAAGACTTGTATCTGCTAGCCACAATATGTAAAGGGCCCTTAAATCTCAGTAATGAAAGGCAAACCTAGTTTTAAAAATAGGTAGAATTTCTTTTAGAAGTCTGAATAATATTCAATTGTGTATGCATTAGTCAGGGTTCTCCAGAGGGACAGAACTAATAGGATAGATACATAAAGGAGTTTATTAAGTATTAATTTACATGATCACAAGCTGCCACAACAGGCTTTCTGCAAGCTTGAGAAGCAGGAAAGCCAGTTCAAGTCTCAAAACTAAAGAACTTGGAGTCCAAAGTTCGAGGGCAGGAAGCATCATGGGAGAAAGATGTAGGCTGGGAGGCTAGGCCAGTCCCACTTTTTCACTTTTTTCTGCCTGCTTTATATTCACTGGCAGCTGATTATATTGTGTCCACCAGATTAAGGGTGGGTTTGCCTTCCCTAGCCCACTGACTCAAATGTTAATCTCCTTTGGAAACACCCTCACAGACACACCCAGGATCAATACTTGCGTCCTCAGTCCAATCAAGATGACACTCAGTATTAACCATCACAGTGTATATGTACCACTTTTTCTTTATTCATTCATCTGTTGATGCACACTTAGGTTGATTTCATAGTATGACTATTCTAAATAGTGGTGCACTAAACATGGGGATATAGATAACTCTTCAACACACTGCTTTCATTTATTTTGGATTACACCTAGAAGTGAGATTGTTGTATGATGTAGTAGTTCTGTGAAGTTAGTACAATCTCATGGCTGGTTTCTGGTTTTATGTTTGTGTGTGTGTGTGTGTGTTTTTTTTCTTTTTAGGTGAAATTACAATTGAACAGTCCTCATACAATTTTATCTGTATCTGGGCCAGATTACTTACGTTAAGGTGAGATAAACACCTCATACTTCTATGTAAAATTAAATCACCCAGGCTGCTAGGCTGCTGCTGCTAACATCAGTAAATGAACTCTTATACACCTGGAAGTAGTAAGCTTGTCCAGAAATAAATTTGAATTTTTTTCAACTTGTCATTCTCCAAACTTCTGAGCATGTTTTGCAGACTTGTTTCAGTTTCATAAATGGTGACACAAAAATAATTTTAATAATATTTTGGGGCCATTTTAAATACTTGGTTATATAAACTATTTATTATGTTGAATTGCATACCCAAAATAACAAATATATATATATATGTACAGAGACAACATAATTAAAAGTGTGAAATAGTTGCTTTCTCATTTTATTTTCTATAAATATGTATTTTTAAAAAACTCAGAAAAACAAGTAAACCTAATAATCTGAATGAAATAGGACAACATTCAAACAGCTGTTAAAATCTGGTTTATGTATTAGTTTTTAGGCTATTATTTCAGTTATAAACTTAGCCTCTATTCTTACTTAAAGGACCAGCTTCAGTGCACCCTATCTCCACCTCACTGATACCAGTAGTATCTAGCCTGTTGAGACCAGCAGTCATTGATACCAGTAGCATCCCCCTTATGAGAAATCTGGATCACAGTTAGTTCCATTCAGCTGTTTGTTTAAACTTGTAGGTAGATTCCAGTACTCTAACTTTTACTCTTTGTTCATCCAGGCCTAGAATGGGTAACTGTTTCGTGTAGTTGTTTATTTTTTATTTTTATTTTTTATTATACTTTAAGTTTTAGGGTACGTGTGCACAACGTGCAGGTTAGTTACATATGTATACATGTGCCTTGTTGGTATGCTGCACTCATTAACTCATCATTTAACATTAGGTATATCTCCTAATGCTATCCCTCCCCCCTCCTCCCACCCCACAACAGGCCCTGGTGTGTGATGTTCCCCTTCCTGTGTCCATGTGTTCTCATTGTTCAATTCCTACCTATGAGTGAGAACATGCGGTGTTTGGTTTTTTGTCCTTGCGATGGTTTGCTGAGAATGACGGTTTCCAGCTTCATCCATGTCCCTACAAAGGACGTGAATTCATCCTTTTTTATGGCTGCATAGTGTTCCATGGTGTATATGTGCCACATTTTCTTAATCTAGTCTATCATTGTTGGACATTTGGCTTGGTTCCAAGTCTTTGCTATTGTGAATAGTGCCACAATAAACATACATGTGCATGTGTCTTTATAGCAGCATGATTTATAATCCTTTGGGTATATACCCAGTAATGGGATGGCTGGGTCAAATGGTATTTCTAGTTCTAGATCCTTGAGGAATCGCCACACTGTCTTCCACAATGGTTGAACTAGTTTACAGTCCCACCAACAGTGTAAAAGTGTCCCTGTAGTTGTTCTCTTTATGCTACTTCAGGGTCCCCTGTTATTGTTAGTCTCCTCGCACATAAAATTTAAGGAATTTAACCATTCTCTACAATTAAATCCCCTCAGCTAAAATAACTAATATAGTTTCTGTTTTCCTGAGTAATGCTGACTAATATAGTCAATGTGTTTTAAATTCTATTCTGCAATTGTTCATTTGTGTGAGATACTTAGTAATAAATTAAATAAACATTTCTAAAAGAGTATTCTACATTTTTAGCCTAAACATATAAGAGAAAGCATCTGAAGCAGTCATGTCACACAGTAGAGATAATTGTTGATGATGAAATAATCACAGTAGAGGTCATATGTCTTACCATTATTTAAAATTATAGTGGAAGGCTAAGGTGGGTAGATCACTTGAGGTCAGGAGTTTGAGACCAACCTGGCCAACATGGAAAAACCCCATCTCTACTAAAAATACAAAAATTTGCTGGGCATGGTGGTGGGCCCCTGTAATACCAGCTACCTGGGAGGCTGAGGCAGGAAAATCGTTTGAACCCAGGAGGTTACAGTGAGCCGAGATTGCACCACTGCACTCCAGATTGGGTGACAAGAGCAAGACTTTGTCTCCAAAAAACAAAAAAAGAATCATAGCGACATATGATTATTTATCATAATAGACATTAGAATTTTATTATGATTATAGTTTGTGAAGATTTCCATACATATTCTTTTTTCTACTGAAAAAAGAAGAGGTCTTGTAGATTTTGATCATCTCCATATCCTTTAGGACTAAAATGTAAGCTTAGAGAGGCATATGTGCTGCTGAGTTTAGTTAACTGTGGACTAAATTAAATGTCTTTAGTTTGTTTTTCTGTAAGTCATTTGCATTTATAGCAATAAATTGAATCTTCACTATGTCACTTCCTATTACCAATCCTAATTAATAGATATGATTCAAAGGATATTTGATTACATGTTTCTAAGGATCAGAGCAGGTATATTCGTATGCTACAGGTATATTAGTGTGCTAGGACTGCCATAAAAATACCACCACAGTCTGGGTGGCTTGAAAAACTTATGTATGTGTGTGTGTATATATACATGTGTATATATATGTATATATGTATATGTATATATATGTGTATATATATGTATATATGTATATGTATATATATGTGTATATATGTGTGTATATATGTGTGTGTGTATATATATACATTTTTTTTCACAGTTCTGTAAGGCTAGAAGTGCAAGATCAAGGTGTTGGCAAAATTGGATTTTTTCTGAATTCTCTCTCCTTGGCTTGCAGATGGCTACCTTCTTGCCTTGTGTTCACATGGTTGTCTCTCTGTACCTTCATGTGTCTACTCTCTCTGTCTCTCTCTCTCTCTCTTTCACACACCACACACACACACACACACACACACAGTCCTAAACTCTTCTTCTTACAAATGAGTCAAATCATATTAGAATAAGGCTCACTCTAATTATCCCATTTTAATGTCACTATCTCTTTAAAGACCCTATTTCCAAATACAGCCCCATTCTCCTCTCCCTTTCCTCCCCTACCCTCCCCTCTTCTCCCCTCCTCTCCCCTCCCATCTTTCTCCCTCCTCTCCCCTCCCATCTTCCCCCTCCTCTCCCCTCCCCTCTTCCCCTCTCCTCTCTCTTCTCTCCTCTCATCTCCTCTCCTCTCTCATCTCTCCTCTCCTCTCTCCCCTCTCCCCTCTCCCAACCTCCTCTCCTCTCCTCTCCTCACCTCTCTTCTCCTTTCCTCTCCTCTCCTCTGTCTTCTGCCATCTCTCCTCTCTTCCCCCTCTCCTCTCCTCTCCTCTCCTTCCCTCCTCTTCTCTCCTCTCCTTCCCTCTTCTCTTCTCTCATTTCTTTCCTGTTGTTTTTTGTTTACTTGTTTGTTTTGCAGTTTTTAAGAGATGAGGTCTTACTCTGTTGCCCAGAATGCAGTGGAATGATCTTAGCTCACTGCTACCCTGAACTCCTTAGCTCAAGCAATTCTCCCACTTCAGTCTCCTGATTAGTTGGGGCTACAGGTCCTCCCTGTCGAGCTTGATTTACTTTCAAAAATTTTCTTAGAGACAAAGTCTCTGTATATTATCTAGGCTGGTCTGGGCTGCCACTCCTGGCCTCAAGCAATCCTCCTGCCTTAGCCTTGAGTAGCGGGGATTACAGGCATGAACCACCATGCCCAGCTACCAGCACATTCTGAGGTCCTGAGGGTTAGGGCTTCAACAATAAATTGAAAGGGAGGGCACAATTCGACATACAACAAAAGGAAAACTGAACAAGAAATGATTTAACTTATCTTTAAACTACAAAGCCTATGAGATTAAGTGACTTGCTCAAGTTAATTGATATCATTAGTGGCAGAGATCAGCACAGAACCCCTATCCCTGCACATCCATTTCGAGGTCTTTTCCATTTCACTATTTTTCTTCCATCCTTGTATCAAATGCACTACTTTGAATTAGCAAGTTGCACCTAATATACCTATACATGGTTGGCGTCCTAAAAGTGTTTTCTAGTTTCCTATTCTATTATGTATTCTTGGTTTAACATTATTATTTGGTTATAATATTTATTATTGATTTAACATTATTGTCAACTTTGTAAATTTCTATTTTATATGGAGTTTTATTTCATAAGCATGACACTTATGAAGAAGTTAATATATTGGTATTCAGTAAATATTTTATATTTTATCATATCTCAAGATTCCTGTGCATTTCCAACTAACTTCACAGTTATTCTAAAATCTTTATATCAGAATATCGCTAAAAGCCTCTAGATAGGTACAATAGATATACAAATGTATATTTTAACAGCATATTTGTAAAACAGGTACAGCTTGCCTTAGATTTATAATATCATGAGAATAAGCACATAGTAGAGAATAAGCAAAGAAAGTGCAATTCATTTTAAAAGAGATTATATAAGATAAAACCTAATTCATGCTGTATTCTGATAAAATATAAATAATTTCCTAGTAAATCATGCAAATGACAAACTGCTTAAACATAAATACAATCAAGAGTAAAAGAGAAGTGCTTAAAGCCAAATTGAAACAAACCAACAGAAATGAATCCAAATCAGCTATGTATGTTTGAAGTCTTGAGTTGGAAATAGTAAGCAGGCTGTGGTTCAGAATATTTATAAATAAATGTCATCTTACGTCATATTAAATTACATCAGTCATGTTTCTAGTTGTCCTTTCTTAAGATTACAAAAGTTATTTTAATTGTCTGGTAATCTTTAAAATACAGAGTTATCGGTCAATAAAAAAAACCCCTTCTCAGTTTAATGTTTTTTCATTTGTGGTGCTATTATTATTTCATACATGAGTAAATAGTTCTCTCAATAAACTTATTCTGAAACAAAGTCATATTAACTCATTTACTTGACTAGTTTCCTACAGATTCTTGATTTTTCAAAAAATCCTTGTCTCTTCACTTGGTACAAGCCTCTTGAATGAATAAACATCAGGAAACTATATGCCAAATCCTCCTGAATGTACAGCACAATGTTTCATGGCAGTCGGTAGATGGATTAAAACTAGAATGCAAACATATCCAGGGGTCTGATTTGAGAATAAGGTCAAGGTTATAGAGGCAGAACAGAAGGGTATGCGTCCAAATAGAGCTTTGAGACTAAAAACTGGTTTACACGTATAAATATAAGACCTGTCATTATTACCATAAGTGAAAGTTGCTAATCAAAATCCAATACCCATATGACCAAGGGCATGGAAGGCAAGCAGGAAAAGTCCAAAAGATTGAGCAGTGATTCTAGATTGGCAGCTAGCCTCGCTGAAATCATGTAGTTGATATGGTGGTATAGGTAAAGTAAGAATGGAGCTTCAATGGAGAATCCTAAACAGTAAAACTTAAGGACAGATAAATATTTATCAGGATATGAGCGCAAATACAGAACTCCTCAGTTACAATCTGACTTATGATACATTCATTTATTACTCAGCAATATGAATGAATAGGCTTGTTTCTCCATGAACATATGTGATTTTACTTCACAGAGTCCTTTGGGGTACTTTGTTGACTGAGATGTGACAGATTCTATGAAGGTTCTGAAGCTTGGCTATGGGCACTGATCTCTTGATAAATTCTTTTCTTTGATCTTATCTCCACAGAGAAAACAAACAAATTACCTTTCTTGTTTGTGAGGCCAAATGTATTATTAAACCAAGCTGTTAAAGGCTCAGAAATTCCGTTCCAAAAGGAAATACTAAAAGGTACACTTTCTTTTTCAGATTGTCTCAGCTTTGCAAAGATGATAGAAAAGCATATCAGAACACAGTAGGACAATGGTCAGCCCCTTCCATTATGTAGGAAGTATGCATCCTTCCTACATAATCGTGATCACATGACTAAGTCTCATATTTATACATTCAACAGCTAAGAAATTTAAGGTTTCCAGTGGCTGGCTAAATTAAATTGTTAGGCTAGCAATCCTGGTGCCGACATGTTTAGCTAGCTCCACTAAAGGCTAATTTCTGGGCCAAAATTTAGTGATATTCCTAACTATAAACATTATTATAACTTCTGTAGACTGTAAAATATAAATAAACAGATGTCCTTGATTTTACAAAATTTAGGCACTAGAGAATGATAAAATAGGCATTCTTTATGGTAAAACTAGGGAAACAAGCCAGGGACTCAAGCAGAGGAAAAAAAACACATAAGATTTTAGAGTTATTCTTACCATCACCTTTATTACCTTCTATTTAATCCTCACTTGTCTTTAAACAATCTATACATTTTCTTTAACTAATTTGATTCATACAGTTGTATCAAAGTAGAATAAATCAGTGATCTAAAATTCTATTTTGAGTTCTTGCTAGACATCTATACCCAAAAGCAACATAAATAGAATTTCAGTCTGTCCCAAACTGAACTCATCATGTCTCAAAACAGGTTTTGTTTTTAAATCCCCCATCTCTGTCAATAGTTCCACATGTTATTCCGCCAACTTGAAACCTTGGAGACTCTCTAGTTTTCTTGAGCTTCCTCATTCCCAAATCTAGTCACCAAGATCTATTTTTTCTATTTAAAACATTATTCAATTTATTCCTTTTTCTATGTCTCTAATGCTTTGCATTTCTATAACTGTATTTTTAGTTGTTTCATAATATTTTCTTTTAGTTAACTTTATTCCAATCAATGCTAAACTGTACAGTGTTTTTTTCTAAAATGTAAACTTATCGTTTCAATTTTTGCTCCATGTTCTTTCAAAGCTTTTTATAAATACTAATATATAAAGCCCTTCACATAGACTGTATACTTATTTGACTGTATACTATACGACCAAGTTGAACTGTTCAATTTTATCTATTCCAATACCTTCTCTATGTTATACTTGGAAATATTTGATGAACTTGTCCTGAGCTCATACATCACCCAGCCTTTGTATATGCTACTCTTCTTGCTTAGAGTATGCTCAGACTTTTGTTTTCAGCCACTAAATATACTCTTTTTCGGCAAAGGTTTTCTTAACTATATCAGGCAGAGACTCGATTTCTTTCTGTTTGGTTTTCACTCTTTTTGTATATATTTCCATTAAAGGGATGATTACATTTAAATAAACCAATTCATTTGTGTTTTTGTTGGTTTTGCCTTTAAAACATATGTTCCTTGAGAACAAGGACTGATCTTATAATTACTGTTGATAAATAACTTAGCATTACATCTGTCACTTGAGTCATGTTCGTCAAAGTGGTAAGCACTGCTGGATATTTCTGAAAGTTTTCAAAGTAGTTTCCCTAATACCTCCTCTCTACATACATAGAATTACTTCAAATGTGTGACATTAGTCAGTGGAGTGGGCAGAAAGTCATATCATCCAGTTGTGGGAATTAAGGAAAAGAAAGTTCAATTAATCAGGATAAGCTATGTCGCACTTTGCTGACAAACAACTTTTCCTGTCCCCAACTCTGTAGTTGAATAATGAATGTTTACTTTTCATTCACCACATCAGCTGTGAATATGAGTGTCTTTTCAGGGCAGTTCTCCTCTATGTGACGTATCAGCAATCCATATTGATAGGGTCTCCACTATGTAGAATTCTTTTTTTTCCACAGTCAACATGACAAGATAAGAGAGAATGGAGAATCTCCTATTAATTCGTATGTATTTCCATGAGTAATTGGTTCACTTTTTATTAGATTATTTTCCATTGACAAAAGTAAGTTATATAGCTATGCTTAACTTCGAGGTGGCAGAGAAGTATAATCATCCTATGTGCCTAGGAGAGGAGAAAGCAAAAATATTGCTTTCTTCCATAAAGATATAGGAACTAAGTAACAAACACCAGCAACACAGCCTTTGATATCAAATATTTGTATGACAATTAATTAAACAGTAAAACCATTTCATACTAATAAAACATCAACAATGATATGATTTTTTAAAACTCTTTTGTGATTCTAATTAGACAGTGTCTCTTAGGATTAGCTAATATGAATGAAATACTGTAATTCAACATGGCAGGATAGCTGTCTTTTTAAAAAGTGTCAGAAAAATAAGCAACTGCACACTAAAACATATGGGCATTATGAAAACTCCATATTTGAACATTATTAAATGTGTTAAAAATAAGTATTAGTTTATTTAATTATTAATTATAATTTTGAATTTATCCCAATTTCTAAAACTAAATTTGAATATGTGTTTGTTTGGTTGCATTGTATATCTGTTACTGAGAAGAGATAGAGTTTAGTTATTATAAAATATCAAGACACACAAGCATCATTTTTTTCTACACACATATGGAGGTCACTATATTTAAGATACTGTATTTTATAATTGCAGTTATAATTGCTAAATAAGTTAATATGCAAATAATACATAATTTATTATTTGTGGAGTTCTTTCTATTGTCTAATAATATTTTGTGTTCTTAGTGATCCCAGTTTTAAGAGCTACTCCCAGCATCTTTGTGATTACAATGAAACTTCCCTTTTGAACTAAAAAACAAATTTCTTTTTTTCCAATATCTCTCTTGATTACCAGCAATCAATCTTTTGATGTGTTTTTTTTTAATTTGGTATTAATTCATTTGAGTAACTGCTAAACTATTCCATGTACCCAAATAGTTTGATTTGTAAGGATGACAGCAGATGTTCTGTTGAGCAGAAAATTCCTCTAGTTTTATTTCTACCTTCCTTCCCTATTTCAGTCATATAGCAAATACTGATGACAGTGAACTTTTGTTCTTAGAAGGTGACTTGAGTTTTATTCTTGCCAGTTGCATTTAACCAATTCTTTACTTCTTCCTGAAGATGAGAGGATTAGTAATTTTCTTTTTCTCTGTTCTTTACCTTCTGATTTAGGATATTCATAGATAAGTGCCATTGCACATCATAATTCAACTCCACATTTCGAGCTGAGGGAGGACTATCGCAAGAGTTGAAGGATTTCTCCTTTAGGACCATGGAGAATGTAAAGTGTCTCTGGAGACACAAAATCATAAAAAGATTTTAGAGTGATTCTCTGCATGCTTCTCTTATTCTGCCTGTTATATATTTATATTATGCAATTTTCCCCTTAGTTAGCATTTAATTTTGAGTATGTTACTAGGCTACAAAATGACAATTTTATAGGCCCCTAGCCAGCTCTAAATTTTGTAAAATGTTTGATGTGTAGAAAACTTAGTTCCTTTTTAATATTAGTAGAATCTATTGGCAACCTCAGAAACATCTAATGGCTATTTGCAATGTAGTCAGTAAAGAAGTATTATTGGAGCTACATCAATGCACTTTCACTCCATATTGTAGAAGCCTCCATCATGTTGAAACATTGTTATGAAAGAAAACCTAGACTCACAAAATACCTACTTATAAATTTATTCAATTTGTAATTATAATTTTCCTTTAATCTCATATGTTGTCTAAACATGAATTTACTAAAAATTATTTTAAAATTGGCCATAATAATTTAAAAAGAGATGCTGTAAGATTTTTGCACCTTTCCTTTTTCTTAATTAAATAACTTTACATGTATATATTTATTATAAAATACCAGAGATATAAAAAGATATTTGTTTACAAAGACATTAATATATCTTTTTGCAAAGAGATTACTACATCTCTTTGCAAACAAATATCTTTGCATATTGTACATACGCAGTTATTTATAAAATTATTTATAAATATTTTATAAATTATTACATTTATTGAAAGAAGATAATGTTTTTTATCTTGCCAATATTAATTCAGAAAAAGGGTCAACGTATGAGTCCTATGCTTATCATCAATCAGTATTAAATTCCATCAACTGAATACCTAAAAGGAGTACTAAACAACTTATATCTAATTATTAAAAATATTGACTCTAGAATTATCTTCCAAATGTCCACTTAATAATGCAATTTTATGCATTGCAAAACATCAGGTCACTGATTATCGTAACACTAGCAAATGGAAAACCAAAAGGAGTATAAGCTTACGGGAAATAAAGCTAGAGAATCATCAAATATTTTAGACTGATATTTATGTATAATTTTCAATTTCCATGTAGCATACAGGGGATCTCTTATTATCACTTTATTTTTGAATTTTAAGATGGTTAAAGTGAACTGGATCAGGTTTTACGCCAGTGTTCCTGTATTTACTATCAAAAGTTAGTATCCTGCTGCAACCAATTTGACTAATAAAATATTTATTTTTAGTGAAATTCAATGGTAACCTTTAAAATAATGAACAATAATTATCATTTATTCAACATTTACTCTGTAATACAAAATATACTGACTTTTTTACATATTCCTATGATATTGTTTTATGTACAGTAATATTTAAAAAAATAATTCCATAATGTTTACCTGAAAAATTCCATAGAAACTTCAGAAAGGGGAAAATAACCACAATTACATCTCCACTGAGGGCAATGGAAGTGGATGCATTCTTTTCTATAAGAATTTCTTTATTTTATTATAACAGCACACAAGTAGCCAAAAGGCTTAATGTAATGAGTATAGTAATTGGCACTTTTCAGTTCAGAAATATGTCATGCTTACTAGAGAAACAAATCAATATTTTGATTTTCCACTTTCTTCATAATCAGTGTTTTAAATTTTTGAGAAATCCATTCAATTAATGTTTTCTGTTTAATTTTTTTCTAGGTGATAAGAACAAGCTACATTTAATACACTTTTTGTAATAAATGGCAGTTCTTTTTATAATTTGCTCATTTTCCTAAGATAGCTAATATGGCTTGGCTGACAATGACTTAAGTTACATTTTGTCATAATTAACTCAATATAAGACACATGTTATAAGGCATCAACAGCATTCTTTTTTTGACTTTTGCTGTGATCTTTTAAATTTTTTTTAGTAAATCAAAGGACCTATCATAGCACGTGCTTTCATTTATTAAACTTACTTAATTCTGACACTGCCTGTTAGTCCCATAGAAACTGCATCTATCTAGACCACTAGTTTGACTAGTATGACTACATTCCCTTATTACCACCGAGCTAAAAATTGTCCAATAGCTCAAATGTTTGTACTGCTTGCATGTGTGCAAATTAAGCTACTATGTACTATATATTTTGCCAGAAAATTTTGATAGATAATTATGTTAGAAAGAATAAGATCCAATTTTCTGAAGATCATGAGATTTCTGTGGTCTGGAAGCTGCAAAATGGCAAATATGATCTCAGTAAGGACAATCATTTTGTGATTTTTCTATATAGTTAATATCCTTTCAAAAGCAATATTATGAAGAAAAAGATGAAAGGAGTGTGTGGTTTTATTTCCAAAATAAAAATGTACTGAATTTAGATTTTAATCATAATTCCAACTGGATCTGAATCAGCATCAGGCAACTTCCGCACAGTTTGGCACAGGCTCCAAGAGTTGGCACCTTTTGCTCTGCAAAGGCCCAGAACTTGACAAGTGCTTTTGGATGAAGGTGTAGTAGCACAGCTGTTTGGGGGACCTGATGGAGCATGTGTCTAAAATATTTTTCCAGCCAATATTAACCACTACTTTTTCTTTTTCATGAATATTTATCAAATGAGAAGTAAACACCAAATATAGAGAAAGTGATATTGTTGGAAATAGTAATATTTCATTATCATTACAATTTAAAAAGAACATTATGAATATCAGTAATAAAAAAGGATAAATAGCAATATCAATAAAATAATGTAAAATAAATAGGAACATGTATGTGTTTGTATGTTTGATACTTTAAATTTTTTAGCCTTCATTTTTTTAACCTCGTGTTTCTGACTCAAATCAAGTTCATGCTTAGAATATTTCCAATCACTTTAAATGAAACAAAGGAAAAAAATGGAAAACATAATGTCTGTTCTTTACTCAGCATTCCACATTTATTTGAAAGGTTGAAAATATAAAGTAGTTACAAAATATTAATAATTCACAAACTGGAACATCAGGTATTTTAAACATGTCCTTTCAACAATAGGCAAATGTTTAAATGGGTGTGTGGGGCAAAAACACCTTCTTAGTATTTCAGTCTGTTCCCCAAAGCTTCTTGGGAAAGTAAGTAGGAGAATGATAGAAAATATAAGCTGAAAAAAACCATTAATGATCTTTGTCCAGCAAGTTAGAATATAATTATATGGCAATTAGTGCTATCTTACTGAAGGTTTTTTAAATGGTAGTTAAAATTAATCAACTTTGACTTATATTATAACATAATACCTAAGCCGTTAAGAAAGGGCAAAATCTGAACATGAATGTTATTTTTCTAGGGATACAGATAATTAAAAAAAAATTAAACCTAAGAATGAATGGTAGATTGCAAAAAGTGGCTCTGATTCTTGATTTTACCCTGTATCCACATCTTTTGTTGTGCAAATGCAATTCTCTCTCACTCTGACTCCAGGCCAGCCAGCCAGCCAGGTAACTTAAATTTTCCAGCAGGCTATCAGTAAACTAGATGCAAACACAGATTTGTTAAGACCCTGATCATTTGTGATTCAGGTTTTGCTTCTGAAATGGCCATGAAAACAAGTAAGAAATGTAGGATATAGAATATTCATTTCAGGGTATGAATGTATTTTCCGGTGGATGCTGTAATAAATTACCACAAACTGGGTCTTTTAAAACTGAAAAAACCGTATTCTTTCACAGCTCTTGGAGTCAGAAGTGTGAAATCAGTGTCACTGGACCAAAATCTAGGGGTTGGCAGGGCCATACTCCCTGTGAAACCTCTAGAGGACAATCTATTCCTTGCCTCTTCCAGTTTTTGGTGGCTGCCAGCATTCCTTGGCTTGTGTCCATATTACTTCAATTTCCACCTCCACAGTCATACTCTCTTCCCTTCTGCTATCTATAATCTCCCTCTGCCTGTCTCTTATAAGGACACTTGTGATTGCATTAAGGGCCAACTCAGATATCTAGAATAATCTTTCCATCTTAAAGTATTTAACTTAATCAAATCTGAAAAGACCCACTTTGCAAATAAGGCAACATTTACAAGTCATCTGGATTAGTACCTGATATCTCTGCAGTGCAAATTTTTTAGTTTACCACAATCTTCCTTTGGCTCAAAAGGCTCACATTCATAACACATGAAAAATACATTTACCCCACTGCAATATTCCTAAATGTCTTAATCAATTACAGCATCAACTCAAGTCCAACATTTCACCAGTTCAAAACTTATAAATATCATGATCTAAATCATGTAAATAAGATGTGTGTGCAGCCATGTCTGATTCATCTGGGGAAAAATTCCTTTCCAAAATCCCTTTCCTTTCTGTGGACTTCTGAAAATAGAAGACTGGTTATCTGCTTCCAAAATAGAAGAGTGGGACTAGTGTGGGACAAGTGTAGACATTATTTCAAAAGGTAGAAAATGAAAGAAAAAGATCACCAATTCCAAGCAATTTCAAAATCCAACAGAGCAAATTTTATTAAGTTTCAAGGTCTAGGAATGATCCTCCAAGGATTATGGCTCCAGCCTCTGGGCTCATGGCTGTGCCCTCTGGACCCACAGCTTGGGCTTCTCTTTTTTTGAGGACATACATAATTACATTTAAGGCCCACCTAGTAATTTCAGAGTGATCCATACATCTCAAGATCCTTAATTATACCTGAAAAGACTCTGTTTCCAAATAAGGAGATTTATAGGTTCCAGAGATTAGAACCTAATATCTTTGGGGGACTTTTTTTCAGTCTCCCATATATAATCTTTCCAGCCAAGGCCACTACAGATAACTAAGTGCATCCAACTGAGACCACCTACATTACAGAACCACAGCCTCAAGCACTAAAGAAATGTTTAGTGTGGTACAGCATTACTATGGATATTGATATTTGATATATAAGGAAAGACTTAAAACTTGGAACACATTATGTGCTAGGAACTTGAAGAAATTCAGTATAATATGAAGAAATTATTATAACTATTAGGAATTTGAAGAAATTCAGTATAATTGAAGAATTTCAGTAACCTGAAGAAATTCAGTATAATATATTCAGTAAACCTAGAATTTATAGGATAGGGATGGGAACAGAGCTGTTGGGGTTGGCAAAAGATAATACAGGAAAGAAAGCAGGAATTAGGTGTTGAAGGGCTATTTGAGCCATATTAAGGCATTTACAATTTGTAATTATAACAATAGCAATGGGAAAATATTGAGGCATTTTAAGCAGAAGAGACATTTTCTCAGATATCCTTCTAAAACTGTGATTCGACTCAACACTAGCCAAAACTCACCAACTACTAGCTCTAGAAAAACAGACACTTGGTACTCTTGTAACGTCAAACAGAGAAGCCACTGTGTATACTTGAGAAGCTAACTAGTTTACATGCTTATTCCACGACTGCTTGCCCTAAACAAAAAGACCTTTCAGAATTTATTTTTGCAGATTTTTAAAATGTATGTCTGGTTCTCAATTCCGACAGTTTTGTGAAGATCTGAAAAAATGCTACATTTTATTTTAGGGAAAATAAAACGGATTGGAGAAAAAAGACTGAAGTGGGCAGACCAATTTGCAGGATACCGCAATAACATAGGTGAGGCATGCTGGAGGCCATAATGAAGGATATATTAGATAGATGTACATGTTATTTAGGCTACAACGTTGACCACATGTGGTGATTAAGAAAGAAAACCTACAGATATTTATCCTTTTTTTTTTTTAGGTTTAAGCCATGGAATGCAATATTAAGGGTGAGAAGAATGGATTTTTTGGGGAAAAAACATAAAACAATTTGTTACATTATATATATATCATATAGATAGATAGATAGATAGATAGATAGATAGATAGATAGATAGATGATAGATAGATAGATAATGTTTTTTGTGGCACCTGTGAGATTTCCACCTTGATCATTGATTATCAGTTAGAGATGATCAACAGACTGGTGGATATATGGCCATATAGTTAAGAAAGGGAAGTGGGCAGCGAAAAGAGTTTGTGGATTTATCAGTGTATGGAGAGAAACTGAAGCAAAGGAATAAATGAGCCTTTTCGGAAAAAATGTGTGAAGTGAGTCCAGGGCAGACCCTGACAAACATTAAATTTAACAGGATAAGTAAAGAAAAAAAAATAGAGGAAGTTGAGAAAAAGTGGAAGACGTATAGAAGGAAAGCCATAAATATGTGTCTTCAAAATAGCCAAGAGAAGATATTTTTTAAAACGGAAGCAGTGTTCACAGTTATCTTGGTCTGTGACTTCAATTTGGCTACCAAGACAGCCTAGCAGTGCTTCTGTCTCCTTAAACTATTCTTAGCTCCAGTTTTCCTAGCAACTATTTCAAACATTTACATTTCCTTTGAACTCACCATGCCTACACCCACATGCATCTCATAACTCATTCTCAGAGAAGGCTTTGTTTTCTAACTTACACACACAAAAATAAAAAAATCTATTGGAAGAAACATTTTTCAGTTTCCTAACTGTGGCTGATGAGGTTCTCTGTAGCAGAGTTTGCCTTGCTGAGTATTTATTCCAGTACAACTTCTGTTGAAGGAGAGGGAAGGAAGCAGGGTTGGGCAGAGAGAAGCAGAACTGTGGCCCTGGAAGACTCCATAGAGAACTCTGAATCATATATGCCCCATCAGAATTGCCCAGTGTGGAGTCAAAATAGACCCCAGCCTCAACCAGTCATTGATGTATGATGTCCTGAGAAGAAGGCCATTCCTTTGAGCAAAGTGGCTGTTGATAGCTGAGACCAATGCTGAGCTAGAGGGCAGCTGTGGCAATTAATGCTATCTTGAAGTATCTGAGCAGTCAATTTCATGAGTATAGTTACAAACATACACTTACACACATATCAATCTTCTGTTTCTTCTCATTACGTAGGAGAGATCTCCTTTCCTAGGCTAAGCACTCTTTTAACCAATTTAGCACTTCCAAATTTTTTTAAGTCTCTTTTTGTAAGAGACTCTTTTTCTCAGCTCTTTCCTAACATATTTAATATGTTTCTTATGTTAAAAAATAAAACAAGAAAGCCTCATTTATCTACATTTATTCTCCCAGGCACAATCCTATTTCTTAGAATAATATCCAATACACTTATACGACCTGTAAAGTTAGTTATATGTGATCATTTCTCACGGTTCATTCTCTAATCGCATGTTCCCCCTTTACCTAGTCCTCATTTCTGTTGCAGTCTTTTTTAATTGTTATTTATTTGTTTGGCCCCTCCCCACTTTCCTTTTTGGATTGCTTTTCCTGTTTCTTTTCCTGGAATATTCTTCCTTCACATATTTTTATATTAATATTTTCTCTCTTCCTTCAAGTTTAAAAGAGGATCCTTATTACTTGCCCCCAGGAAAATCCTGATTCATTTATCCTGTTCTATTTTTTTAATCAAAGAATAATTATCTGAAATAATATATTCTTTATTTGAGTATATATGAATTTTATTTTTCCTCACTGAATGCAAGCTCTATAAGAAAATAAAGTCTTATTCAATAAAATATTACCAGCAATAATACATGATGCAACTTTATAATATTTGTTTTTACATTAAAAGGAATCTTAATTCAGTATTTTAATAACAATGTATCATATATTAAATGTATAATTGAAAATAAATGAATGTAATGGATTTATCCAACAACCAAATAGTAAGTGTATACTCTGAAACAAAATTGTGTATTATGAAGACAAATGCAAAGTAGACTTCATCAGACAATTTAGGATCTCATAAATACAGATATATAAAAAGAAATAATTGTATTATAGCATACATGGTTAAAAAAAGTACACAGTTTTACAGTAGGAACAGTGGTGAAATAAGTTTCCACTAATAATCTGTAGTATTTTAATGCATGTTAAAGTTGGATTCTAACAAACTAAACCTGTAGTATAGTTAACATTCTAAAAAAAAAAAAAGGCAAGGACTTTGAGACAGATGAATAATCCTACCAAACCCCACCCTCTAACTTACCTATATTTTAGACTAATTTAGAGACCTGTTGAATTGTTTAATCATTATAACACGATGCTGTGTCTGCTAGATAAGAAAGCACAGGGCTGGAGGGGAGAATCAGACCACAGTGCTGCACCCTTGAAAAGAACATGCAACTGAATTGTGCCATATGGAATGCTGAGCTAATAGTACATGTTCTCATATTATGTTTGTGGCTTCCCGGATGAAGGTCCTAATGAAAATGCCCATTGGGGTTAAAGGCACTTAACAAAGGAGCAGTAGCAGCAGTGACCAGGAAAAGAGGAGCTAGACTGATGCTGTCAACAAAAGTTGTAGAACAAAGCAGAGAATTACATTCTGAGATATGTATGTCAGGCAGCATACTATCTCCAGGCTTTAAGATAAGAAGAGATTTATGGGTATTGCCTTACATAGTCAAAGAAAGGTTAAAAAAAGGAAGTTTGAAATTTGTTTTCCCTCTTTTCTACATATAACTTACACTAACACTTCTGAAAAACAGAAAAAAATAAGAGAGATAAATTCCAATTTATATGTTCAGGAGAAATATATTTGTTTTGGAATACCACTAACAGTCTCTTTTCAGGCTATTGGTGACAAATATATATGATATAAATTCACCCTAATTCCAAGACCACATCTAAAGAGGTGGTAATAAGAATAATTGTTCCTGAGCTGACTAAACAAGACAATCTCTAAGTGATTTGGAAAAAAAAATTTAAGGATTAACTAGCCCATATCAATCTTACTAATGATAAATTTTGATTATGGGGTACATGCATAATCAGTTTTTAAAACTAACATGGTGATATGATGATCAAGAACATTTTGGGACCTTCAAAGGTATTGATGGAATGAGAGGATATTATGGACATTAAAACATACTCCTCTAACACTGAATAAGGAGAAAAATGAAACCTAATCAGGACTATCAAAGTATCACCAAGCAGTTTAGAACATTGCTTATTTTTGATGTCATTAATTCTTCATGTTTTGTCAAAAGAATGCTCAAAATGACCTAAGAATCCAGCTAGGCAGAGAAATACAGTATATAAATATTCTGATTAAGGAGGCAATGTATTGCATCTTATATTGGAGAAACATTTCCATAAAGTCAGCAGATAAAGTTGTTTTGAAAGTTTGAAGAATTACCTGTAAGATATACTTTGGTAAAAGGTCATTTTTCCCAAAAATTTCACATAAATTGCTCTGCTTTATATAATGTGTCCATTATTCAAAATTATCTTATTTGTAAAACATTAAGAAATCTATGTGCTTAAAAATAGTGATGCAATGTCACTATTAATTTTCAATTGTATTGACAATAATATGCTTTAAAATAAAAAAAAAAAATTTGCATTTTATTTTAAAACATTATGCTGAGCCCAAGAGTTTGAAGACTAGCCTGCGCAATGTGTTGAAATCCTGTCTATACAAAAATAAAAATAAAAATAAATGGGCCAGGTATGGTGGTGTGTGCCTCTGGTCCCAGCTACTTGGATGGCTGGGGTGAGAGGATCACCTGAGCCCAGGAAATCAAGGCCGCGGTGAGCTGAGACTGCACCACTGCACTCCAGCCTGGGTGGCAGAGTGTGTTCCTCTCTCAAAAAAAAAAAAAAACACAAAACAAAAGAAAACAAAAACAAAAGCGTTATGCCATAAAGCTGAAACATGTTGATTAACATCTGTTACACATATTTGCTCAAGCCTCTGTCATGTGAGCAAATGAATACATCTCTTGTGAAAGCATAAACTTTTCTAAAAAAGGTGCTTTTCTTTCATTCTTCACTGGTTGCCTAAGAACCTATTCTTATATTTTTCATCTCCAAGGGCACAGAGTAACATTTCTTACAAATTCTTATTAATTACTCTTAAGAATTGTTTTGATTTTTGGCTTAATATTAAAAGTATATTAAAAAGAAAATACAGGAAAAAAAATCATATAGAAAGCCAGAGAGCATGGGTTGTAATAATTCCTTCATTCTGTCTTCTCACAGTTTAAGTCCTGCCAATCCATAACTAGACATAATGGGTACATGTGAGATTTGAAAATTAGGTAACAAAATTTTAAAGGGGAAAATATATTTTATTCTAAGGTAGTTTTGAAGAATGTTAGAAAACTAAATGATTACAACTAAAAGTTTGAGGCAAGGAAAATTGAATAGTTGGGAATAGGCCAAAAAACAATAGAAGGAATTAGCAGCAAAGAGAAACATTTCCCAGACAGCAGCCCAGGATCGCCTAGGGATTTGGTTGTGACAATGAAATGAACTAATTTTGATGAATATTTGTAAAGAATATGAGGGAACAGAATAGTTTATTAGTCTATAGCATTGAAATTTTAAATAATGTCTATTTTTCAACCATAATTTACCATTCATCCCATATCTACTGACATCCAGTCTGTCTACACTCAAAAGAGTGACAGAAAACAAAAGCCAATCCAAGCAAAACAAATAAAATAACACATATTTTAATGTGTCAAAGTTCTTAGGAATTGAAATACATTTTTCCTGAACTATGTTTCTACTTTACAAGGCATTTTTGAATCAAAAGTTGTCATACTTTCTTTTCATCTTTTTCAGGAAAATCTTATTCACATGACTCTCAGCAGGGGTGATAAAAGGATAAAAAACAGTGTGCTTCATGTTAGTTTTCTGCAGAAGATTTCTACTCTGTTCTTAATCTGAAAGAACAATTTTGAGTAACCCACGGTTTATAGAAAAGGGTAAAAAAAAATCTTGGAGCTATCACTATGGCTCTATATTCAAATATGTGAAAGTAAAGAAAAGCATATGGCCATGACTGAGAGACCTCAGAGTGCAGCACTTAAGGAAATCAGCATGAAAAATAAAGTGCCCATTACCAAGTGATGATTTACTGTATAATTTATGGGAGAGTAGAGTATGCTTGAAACTGCACTTAGCACCTGGATGCCATGAAATATAAATTGAGATGAAATGTGCTCATGAAATTCCATTAATAAGAAGTATGATGCTGGTTTCCTTTTTATTTTGCTTGTAGCTTAATAGAAAGCAGAGGTAAGCCTAGGCAATATTCAGTGGCTTTTATTTGATTATTTCTTGGACTCATGAGACCTTGGTTATCAAAGGGAGTTTAGAGGCTGTCTGGTGTAATCTCTCTCTTTCTTTTATCTCTCTCTTTTTCTTCTCCTCCTTCAGCATCTTTGACAGATGCAAACCTAAAACACCAAACTGTATAGTCCAGAAAGATTGTTATATATTTATTCAACCATTATGCATTACCTATTTATGATATACTAGACACAATATTAACCAGTTGGGATATATTAGTGCCATGGTCTGAATGTATCCCCTCAAAATTTATATGTGGAAATCCTAACACCTGGGGTATTCAGAGGTGAGGTTTTAGGGGGTGATCAGATGATGAGGGCTTCACTCTCAGGAATGGGATTAGTGTTTTTATAAAATAGGCCTGAGGGAGCTTGTTTGCCTCTTCAATCATGTGAGGACACAGGGAGAAGGAGCCATTTACAAGAAAGTGGGCCCTCGCCAGACACCAAATTTACCAGTGCCTTAATACTGAGCTTCTTAGCCTCAAAAACTGTTAGAGATAACATTTTTGTTGTTGAGAAGCTATCTAGTTTACGATACTTTGTTAGAACAGCTCAAATAGAGTAAGACACTCAATGGACAAAAGTGACCCAAAGCCTTCCTTCATGGAGCTTTATTCCAACATGGCAGATTGGGAGGGTGGTTGATTTGTTGTATTTGGTATATTAATCATGGTTCTTTAAAGAAACAGAACTCATTGTGTGTGTGTGTGTGTGTGTGTGTGTGTGTGTGTGTGTGTAGAGAGAGAGAGAGAGAGAGAAATATATTTTAAGGAATTGGTTATTTAAAACAAAGAAAGGAGGCTTATGGAGGTTGACATGTCCAAAATTGGCCAGATAGGTTGACAGGCTGGAGACTCAGGGAAGGGCTGATGTTGTAATTCAAGCCTGAATTCTTTCTTACTCTGGGATAGGGCAGTCATTGGTCCTATTAAGGCCTTTAACTAATTGGATGAGTTTCAGCAACATTATGGAGGACAAACTACTTTACTTTAAATCCACTGATTTAAAGTTAATTTAAAAACAAAAACAACAACAACAACAAAAAACAAAACAAAAAACCCTTACAGAAACATCTAGAATAATGTTTGACCAAATAAATATCTGGGCACTATGACCCAGACTAATTGGCACATAAAATTGACCATCATGTTCAGAAAGTGAGGAGATTTAGGGTAAGGATACTATAAATATAAATGATGACCAACCAACTAAATTAGAATAATTAAATGTTATTTATTCACACCTTGCTATAGTAAAAGAGCCTCTGTCGCTTACATTTTGGCAAACAATCAAAGGCAGACAGAAGACAGGGAAAGATTTATAGTGGAAAAAATGCAAGGCTTCAAGTATTACCTCATTGGAGGCGGTGGGCATGGGGAGGTCTAGGCGGGTTAATGAGAAGCAGGCATTCTGTGCGATTGATTAGGGATGTATGTTTGGCTTTTCTTGTTGGTCCTAAGTTGGAAGCAGAATAAAAATTACATAAACTGTCAGTTATTAAGTCGTGACCATTTTGGGCTGTTTGCTATGAAATTTATTGTTTTGTTTCCTGGATCATTACTGGAGACAGGAGTCTGAATTGTTACAAGTCTGATTTACAGCAGACTGGCTTCCTGGGCTGTTTATTATAAGGAGATGTTTTCCTAGACAGGTTGCTGCCAGGTGTCAGTCAGTGTTCTATTTTTATATTTGGTCTGGCCATTGTTTATTTGCATATACAGTCTCCCAATATAGATAATATACGATCTAATAAAGAAATCAACTACATAGTATATAAGAAGGTGATAAATATTGCATGGAAATTCTAGAATAACATATAAAATACTAGGAGTAAAAAATGGGGAAGGTGTGAGAAAGATTACAGTATTAAATTATTAAGAGCAAGTTCATTTACAAGGTGAGATTTAAGTAAAAACTTGAAAAGGATGAAAAGATTAGCCAAGCAAAGATCTAAGGAAAGATAGCCCTAAGCATATTAATAGTTAATGTTAAGCCCTTAATATGGGCTAATACGTGATGTTTACAATATATTTGAAATAATTACAATGCCTCTCCCCTATTATCTTGAACTCACCCTCTTTGACATATTTTTCTCAATTAGTTATACTTTGAATCATTCATCATCCTAAAAAGAAGACATTAGAAGTTAAAATAAAAACAAAAAAATAGAGAGTGACAGAAATAACCAGAACAGAAGTAAAGTCTGTAACCAGAGATCACTGGCTTGTAGTCAAATAAGGCTTATCTTTGGAATCTAGATTCTAACTTGGAATTTAAAAAAAAGGAGAGAGAGACTCTTTGGATATTTTGGATATCTCTTACATTATGAGAGTAAGGCAGGTGATGGCATTCAGGCCAGACAAATATATTATGATAAAGTCCTTAACATGGGCATTTTGATCTGAGTTTTGAAATTAAACAGATGTTGTATGCTTAACCTTTAACATACAATTTTATAACCGTTGGTCCATGTACACCATAACAGATTGAGGCTGTAAAAGAATCTAGAATGTGAAATTGGAGAGGACAATTTTGAGGAGACTTTGGGAGGGGTCTTCAAATTTCTATGAATCTAAATATGGTTCAGCTTCCTAAGGGGCAGGGATTCTTTTCTACTCCTTACCTCTAGTCTAGTGAAGGGTGCTTCAAGAAGCTTACTCAGAGGACTTCAGAAATGTTCTCCGGAGTCTAAGTTCAATCCATGATGTCTGGGGGAAATCACAGCAAAGTTGAATTGCTTTCCATTAAAGAAATAACTACCTTCATATTACAAGATAATGGGCTAGAGAATGTGTGAGTTTTTAATGTAGAACAGATGTGGACCACACAAAACAGGGAGTTGGTCTGAGCTCTCTTAAATCCAATCCAGGAGGTAATTGGACTATTGTGAAGAGATCATCCAAGTTTGAATAAGAGAAAGGGTGAGATTTAAACATTTCCCCAGCTTGCAAGAATGCTGGTTGAGGAAAGATATCCCTTTCCTAATACCATTTATCCTTACTGTGTTTCAATAAATGAGTAATAGCAGTTAAAAACAAGGACAGGGAAGAAAGTCTGTCTTTCCACGTCTATCTCCCTTGTGCCCCTCATCTCAAATGCCAAAAGCTGGTAAACTGCTTTGGCCATTAAAAAAAAGAAAATATTATGTTTGCTATTTAAGGCTAATGCAAAATTTTCTGTTACCTATGATTTATCAGAAATCTCATGGAAAGTGAACAAATGTTTAGCCACAGGAAGGTTAATGCACTTTCTATTGAATAAATTTTAAAGGATTACTAGGAAATAAACAAACTAACAAAAATGGCTCCTATTTGGCTAGAACCCATAGGTTGTGCTCATTCCCTTTACTAGCTGTATTTTTGCTGTACTACATAACTTGCATGTTTGACTACCTCAGGGGGAATGGCTTAGAACTAGTATCTCCATAAGTAAAGTCTGTGGGCTGAAATTTCTGTAACACATAGATAACTTCAGTTTAGGCTTTATATCTGCTAAGAATAGTGAAACAGTTTGGGTTCTGGACTGGTCAGCTCCTAAAATAATCCCTGAATAATCATTGCCTCCTTGTATTCACTTGAAATCCTGTGCATTCTTCTAACCCAGAATAGGGCTTACAGTAAATATTACCCAAAAGGCTATCATGGGAATTATTGCATGTGACTTCCAATGATAGGTCATAAGACATTGCAGCTTCCACTGTGTCATCTTTTGGATCACTTGTTCTAGAGAAAATGAGCCACTATGTCAACAGGCCCAACATGGAGACATTGACATAGTGAGAAACTGAGGTTTTGTGCCAATAACCAGCTCAGCTTGCCAGGCATGTGTGGATTAGAAGTGAATTCCTGGCCTGGTGCAGTAGCTCATGCCTGTAATCCCAGAACTTTGGGAGGCTGAGGTGGTGGGATCATCTGAAGTCAGGAGTTCAAGACCAGCCTGGCCAACATGGTGAAACCCCATCTCTACTAAAAAACACAAAAATTAGCCAAGCGTGGTGACACACATCTATAGTCTCAGCTATTCTTGAGGCTTGAGGCAGGAGAACTGCTTGAGCCCGGGTGGCAGAGGTTGCAGTGAGCCAAGATGGTGCCACTGTATTCCAGCCTGGGCAATAGAGCAAGATTCTGTCTCAAAAGAAAAAAAAAGGAAAGAAAGAAATTGAATTTATCAACCCAGGCAAGCCATCAGATGAATGTACTCTGACTTGTTACCACTTAAGAAACCAAGGCCCACGACCATTCAGCTAAGACACTTGTGTGTCCGTGACCCTTAGAAACTGAGATATTTATTGCTGCTGTTTTAAGCCAATAACTTTTTGAGTAATTCAGTATACAGCTGTAGAAAATAAGACAAGTTCTAATCTTATCCATAGCACTCTTAAGGTTGTCCACCCAGAGATGGATTTCCATTTATGGATGAGAGAGTAGTGTATTTCAACTCTCTCCTTTATGCAAATAACCACCTCCAGCTCCTTCCCTCACATAAAGCCTATATTCTCAAGCCCTATCTCTGCATGGGCTTTAAAAATGTCATTCCCATGATCAAGAACTCCTAGAAATGTGCACTTGCAAAGTTCTGTTTTTACATTTGGAATACAATAATTTTCCATTTTTGTGAAAAACAATATTCTAGCATCTTGGGAAAGGAGGCTATTTTTTATCAGAATATTACAAGAATCTTTAATTTTCTCATCAAGCCAAAGTTAAGAAGAAGACTAACACTGT
This sequence comes from Homo sapiens, assembly GCF_000001405.40. Lineage (NCBI taxonomy): Eukaryota > Metazoa > Chordata > Mammalia > Primates > Hominidae > Homo > Homo sapiens. The sequence continues at coordinate 83,448,271 of NC_000003.12, read as the reverse complement.
TTATGCATCAACCCTTGGTTAATGCAAGTATTCCAAGTCTGAATATCCATCTTTTTAGTGACAAAGTAACCTCAGGCAAACGTCACACATAATATTTCAGCCAGGCTAGCATTATCACCCCCTAAACGCTATTTTCCTAAAATTACTTTTTCATTTCAAAAATTAAGATTCCGAGCCTGTCAGTCCTCTGATTCTACTGGGGAGTATTAGAAAAAATGTTTGCAGAATAAATAACTTCATTAAAATAAATGATTGTTTAAAATGCAGGTTCATGGGCTCCCATCTGAGTCTATCAAGTTGAGTTATTACATTTTCTAAATCAACATCAGTGGAGTTTTAACTTAAATGTTAATACATTCTGGTAGTGTAGCTTAGAGAATCTGACTCAATACAACTGAGGTAAAACCTGGAAATCTGCATTTTAACAATCGAAAGAGAGAATTCTGATAAAAGTGGAACTAGTGACCGCCATTTAAGAAATATTGTCAATGTTCTCTCCTTGTTTATTGTTTTTTTCCACTTCTTACCACTGATTCTTTAAAAGCATTTTATTTATCTTTTGAATTTTTTTGTGCTTAGTGTTTAGTTTTTTTTTTTTTCTTGTTTGTTTGACTAGCTTTTATATGGCCTCCATAGTTGTGGTAAAAGGGTAAAAGGTACTATGGTCACGAAGAGTGAGTAGAAAGAGAAGAAGCAGCAGTAGCAATGATTTATGGGTGGAGGCATCAGTAAATCAGGTTTTCATAAGTCAGAGACAGCTACATAAAGTTTCTGTGAAGATGCAATTAAAATGAGTATAAAACATCAATGTAAACTATTCTAGGATAAATGGTAATACACACAGTAGCAGATATTCATACTTGTCTCTAGTTAACTGCCCGATGCTAACTATATTATTAATATCAACATTTAAAGAAACTGATAGCAGGATCGGGAGAGATGGGACTGTTTCAAGTAAAGATAAAGATTTTTGATTGAGGTTTGAAGTTAGAAATATCTTTTCAATTTATAAAAGCAATTATGCCTTCTAGTACACAAGAGGGTATATCAAGTTTACTGTAAAAAAGTTATGTATTTGATAGGCAACTGAAAGTACAGCCCAGCTAATTTGATGTGATGCTCTTAAAGAGCTATGCACACTAGTTTTTTTTTTTTTTTTCCTTGTCCTGTTAATGTAATTTGACTTCTGGTCACCATAAAGAGAGAAGAAGATTTAAATTCAGAGTAAGACAAGGATTAATGCCTCTTTCCAGAGAAACATCCAAAATATTAATACATGAATACACACACAGATATACAAATTTTATATTTTGTGAATATTTTGATGTATTTGTTACTTTTGTATGAACTATAATAAAGTTGTTAATATTATATTAATATGGAGTAGTCTGCTTATTCATGAATACATTGAGATGCAAATAATTATTAATAAAAGTAGATTTTTCTTTCCATATTATACTGAAAATAAAATAGGATTTGGAATGTAGTGTTGTCATTCAAAGATTGCACAATTATAGTTTTAGCTATCTTTGGGAAACACAGAAAATTTCTGACTTTTCATACTAGTTTGTGACTTTGCTGAAATGAGGTAAAAAAAATTAATTACTTGTGTTTCAAAGCTGGTGTACAAGAGAAAACCACATAGGAAGAGAATGAGCCTATTCTACAGGGTGTATCACCATCTCAAACCACTCTTTTGGCCTCTATTAATTATGAAGTATACATTACATGGGGGCAATGAGCTTGGATATTCTCAAAGGTTTTAATAACATATCTTGGTTAATAGCCCCTCCATTCTGTTAGAATCTGCTGAGACTCAGTTTCCTGGGTTAATCTGAATATTAATAAGATCCAATTTCAGAATACTCATTTGAGGTGGAAAATATTATATGTTATATATAATATATATAATATATAATATATATATGAAATACCTATAATGTCTAATTGCTTTATAAATTCTTGTAATAATACTATGATTTAGGAGCATTATAATTTTAATGATTCATCAGTGATTCAATGCAAAATGTGCTCATATTTTCAATTTTTTAACAAACTATAAACAACTGTTGATTCCAAGCAATAAAAACATTCTAATTAATTAAAATGTTCTTATAAAGTAACAATAAAAGGTGAGAAATTAAATTAGATAAAATAAGATAGTTATTAATAAACTATAATTATTAACTATCAAATATGATATTTAATAAAATAGTTATTTTGCTAAAGCTAAAATCAAAATATTCTAAACATAAATAATATCTTTTAGAAGCCATTCTTTTTTCATATAAACTTTGATTTAAGATGCCAAAAGTCAAAGTGTCTCAATTATCTTAGAAATTAAAACATGTAAAAGTGTTCCTATTTCTCCACATCCTCTCCAGCACCTGTTGTTTCCTGACTTTTTAATGATTGCCATTCTAACTGGTGTGAGATGATATCTCATAGTGGTTTTGATTTGCATTTCTCTGATGGCCAGTGGTGATGAGCATTTTTTCATGTGTTTATTGCGGCATTATTCACAATAGCAAAGACTTGGAACCAACCCAAATGTCCAATAATGATAGACTGGATTAAGAAAATGTGGCACATATACACCATGGAATACTATGCAGCCATAAAAAATGATGAGTTCATGTCCTTTGTAGGGACATGGATGAAACTGGAAACCATCATTCTCAGTAAACTATCGCAAGAACAAAAAACCAAACACCGCATGTTCTCACTCATAGGTGGGAATTGAACAATGAGATCACATGGACACAGGAAGGGGAATATCACACTCTGGGGACTGTGGCGGGGTGGGGGTAGGGGGGAGGGATAGCATTGGGAGATATACCTAATGCTAGATGACGAGTTAGTGGGTGCAGTGCACCAGCACGGCACATGTATACATATGTAACTAACCTGCACAATGTGCACATGTACCCTAAAACTTAAAGTATAATAAAAAAAAAAAAGAAATTAAAACATGTAAAATTTTATAGGAAAATTTGAAAAATTGAAGATCTAGTTACATATATGATTATATCTCAGAATAGCAAGACTTTTCAGTATATTTTTGCCTTTCATTTATTTTTTTAAGAACTTGTTATTAATCTGAAATGTTATATTCAGATTAGTGTATATCAATAACTTCCTTAGTAGACACTGAAGTATCAACTATGTGTCAAATGTTAAACAGATAATGAAGATACTATGAAAAAGCTTATTAAATACACTTAGATGAAAAAGATAAAAATTCATAATAAAACAGAACTTACCAAATGAACACAAGAATAAACACAAATCCACTATAGTCCATACCCAATAAGCAAAATAAACTTTCAGTTGAAAACCTTCCCACAAAAAAATCTCTAGGCCCACATGGTTTTGTTGGTTGAATTCATCCATTCATTTAAGAGAAAAAAAAATTGTAGTAGTTTTTAATAACTCTTCCATGTATTACAATTTTTCAACTATTTTATGAGACCCATAGAATCTTGATGCCAAAACTCTAATAAAGGTACACAATAAAAAGATGATAACAGGACCATTTCTCTCACAAATATAGAATCTGAAATTTAAAAAATAATAATAAAGAATCAAATACATAAAATTACAAGATATTCAAAACTTCATAAACAAGTACGACTTAACTGAGTAATGCAATCTTATTTCAATAAAAACAACGAAATAAATATACACATTAATACAAAGAAAAAATATGACTATCTGATGAGAGAATCATTCTATAAAACTCAACATAAATTTAATTACCAAAATAATATTTAGTTGATCCTTGAACAACACAAGCTTGAGCTGCACAAGTCCCATTATACATAAGTTTTCTTCCATCTCTGCCACCCTTGAGATAGGAGGACCAATCCCCTTCTGTTCCTCTTCTGCTCAGCCTACTTAACATGAAGACAATGAGGATGTACACTATTTATTTTTGTTTTTGTGGTACTTGCTTTTGGGTTCTTGGTCATGAAGTCTCTGCCTAAGCCAATGTCTAGAAGGGTTTTTCTGATGTTATCTTCTAGAATTTTTATGGATTTAGATCTTAGATTTAAGTGTTTGATCCATCTTGAGTAGATTTTTGGTAAGGTGAGAGATGAGGATCCAGTTTCATTCTTCTACATGTGGCTTGCCAATTACCCCAGCACCCACTTTATGGTATTGTTTCCTTCATTGAAGATCCTTTGGCTAAATTTGGCTTTATTTCTTGGTTATCCATTCTGTTCCATTGGTCTATGTGCCAATTTATATACCAGTACCATGCTGTTTTGGTAACTATAGCCTTGCAGTATATTTGAAGTTGGGTAATGCAATTCCTCCCTCCAGATTTGTTCTGGCTTAGTCTGGCTTTGGCTATGAGGGTTCTTTTTTTTTATGTTCCATATGAATTTTAAGACTGTTTTTTTCTATGTCTGTGAAGAGTGATGATGGTAGTTTTATGAGAATTGCATTGAATCTTTAGATTGTTTTTGACAGTGTGGTCATTTTCACAATATTGATTCTACCCATCCATGGGCATGGGATGTGTTTCCACTTGTTTGTGTCATAGATTATTTTTTTCAGCAATGTTTTGTAGTTTTCTTTGTAGAGATCTCTTACTTCCTTGCTTGGGTATATTCCTAAGTATTTTATTTTATTTTTTGCAGCTGTTGTAAAGGGAATGACTTCTTGATTTGATTCTGAGCTTGATTGTTGTTGATGTATAGCAGTGCTACTGATTTGTGTACATTGATTTTGTATCCTGCAACTTTACTGAATTTATTTATCAGATTTAGGAGTCTTTGGGAGGAGTCTTTAGGATTTTTCTCAGTATGATCTTATCATTAGTAAACAGTGACAATTTAACTTCCTCTTTGCCAATTTGGATGCCTTTTATTTATTTCCCTTATGTGACTGCTCTTGCTAGGCCTTCCAGGTCTATGTTGAATAGGTGTAGTGAAACAGGGCATCCTTGTTTTCTTCCATTTTTCAGGTGTAATGCCTTCAACTTATCTTCATTCAGCATAATGTTGGCCATGGGTTTGCCATGAATGGCTTTTATTAACCTTGAGGTAAGTTCTTTCAATGCCAATTTTGCTGGATGTTTTAATCATAAAGGGATGCTGGATTTCACTAAATGCTTTTTCTGCATCTATTGAGATGATCATATGGTTTTTGTTTTTAATTGTTTATCTAATGTATTACATTTATTGACTTGCATATGTTAAACAAACCCTGCATCCCTGATATGAAACTCACTTGATCCTGGCATATTATCTTTTTTATATGCTGTTGTTTATGAATTTTATTTATCTTTTTGACGAACTAGCTTTTTGTTTCATTTATATTTTGTATTATTTTGTTTCAATTTCATTTAGTTCTACTCTGATTTTTGTTACTTCTTTTCTTCTGCTGGGTTTGGGTTTGGTTTGTTCTTGTTTCTCTAGTTCCTTGAGGTGTGACTTTAGGTTATCTATTTGTGCTCTTTCAGTTTCTTTGATGTAGGCTAGCACTGCTTTTTCTATATCCCAGAGGTTGTGATAAGTTGTGTCACTCTTATTCAGTTTAAATAATTTTTACAGTTTCATCTTGATTTTATTGTTGATCCAAAGATCATTCAAGAGTACATTGTTTAATATTCATGTATTTGTATAGTTTTCAGGATTTCCTTTGGAGTAAATTTCCACTTTTATTCCACTGTAGTCTGAGAGGATACTTGACATATTTTCAGTTTTCTTAAATTTTGAGGCTTGTTTTGTGACCTATCATCTGGCCTATCTTGGAGAATGTTCCATGTGCTGATGAAAAGCATGTGTAGTCTTCAGTTGTTGGGTAGAATGTTCTGGAAATATCTGTTGAGTCCATTTTTTTCAAGGGTGTAGTTTAAGTCCATTGTTTTTTGTTAAATTTGACTTGATGAAACGTCTAGTGCTGTCAGTGGAGTATTGATGTTCCACACTACTATTGTTTTGCTATCTGATTTCTTAACTCTACTAGTGATTGTTTTAAAATTTGTGGACTCCAGTGTTACATGCATACGTTTAGAATTGTGAATGCACACATGTTTAGAATTGTGATATTTTCCTGTTGAACTAATGCTTTTATCACTATATAATGTCTCTCTTCATCTTTTTTACCGTTGTTGCCTTAAAGTCTGTTTCGACTGATATAAGAATAGTTACTCCTGCTTACTTTAGGTTTCCATTTATGTGGAATATCTTTTACCATGCCTTTACCTTAAATTTGTGTGAGTCCTTATGGGTTAGGTGAGACACTGGAAGTTAGCAGATACTTGGTTGGTGGATTTTCATCCATTCTACCATTCTGTATTTTTTAAGTGGAGCATTTAAGCCATTTACATTTAATGTTAGTATTGAGATGTGAGGCACCGTTCTATTAATCATGTTAATTGTTGCTTTAATATCTTTTTTTTAATTTTTTTCATTGTGTTATTGTTTTATAGAACATGTGAGATTTATGGTTAAAGAGGTCCTATTTTGGTGTATTTTATGGTTTTGTTTTAAGATTTAGAACTCCTTTTAGCAGTTATTGTAGCGCTGGCTTGATAGTGGCAAATTTTCTCAGCATTCGTTTGTCTTAAAAAGACTATTGCTCCTTCATTTATAAAGCTTAATTTTGCTGGAAAAAAATTCTTAATTGGCAATTATTTTGTTTCAGGAGGCTAAAGATAGGACCCCAATCCCTTCTGGCTTGTAAGTTTTCTGCTGATAAATCCGCTGTTAATCAGGTAAACTGATGCTTTTTTCTCACTGCTCTTAAAATTCTTTCCTTCATTTTGACATTAGATAACCTGAGGACTATGTGCTAAGGTGATGATCTTTTTGTGGTAAATTCTCCAGGTGTTCCGTGAGTTTCTTATATTTAGATGGCTATCTCTCTAGCAAGACCAGGAAAGTTTTCGTCTATTATTCCTTCAAGTAAGTTTTCCAAACTTACAGAAATCTTAGATTTCTCTTCTTCTTCAGGAAAACCAATTATTCTTAGGGTTGGCCATTTCACATAATCCCAAATTTCTTGGGGACTTTGTTCTTTTTTTTCTGGTGGGGGGTGGATTCCTTTTTCTTTGTCTTCATCTGATTGGGTTAATTCAGAAGCTTTGTCTTTGAGTTCTGAAGCTCTTTCTTCTTGTTGTTCTAGTTTATTGTCGAAACTTTCCAGTCCACTTTACATTTCTCTAAGTGTGTCTTTTATCTCCAGAAGTTGTGATTTTTTTTTTCTTTATGATATCTATTTCTCTGGAGGATTTTTCATCCATATCCTGTATTTCTCTTAATTTCTTTAAGTTGCTTTTTTAACCTTTCTCTGGTATCTGCTTGAGTAGCTTAATAATCAACTTTCTATATATATCTGGCAATTCAGATATTTCTTCTTGGCTTAGATCCATTGCTGGGGAGCTAGTGTGATCTTTTGGGGGTGTTATCGGACCCTGTTTTGTCACATTACCAGAATTACTTTTCTATTTTCTTCTCATTTGGGTAGACTATTTCAGCAGAAAGATCTGGAACTCAAAGCCTGCTCTTCAGATTCTTTTGTCCCAAGGGGGGATCCCTTGATATGTTGCTCTACCCCTTCCTCTAGGAATGGGGCTTCCTGAGAGACAGACTGCAGTGATTGTTATTGCTTTTCTGGGTCTGACCACCCAGCAGGGTTATCAGACTCTGGGCTGGTGCTGGGGAATGTCTGCAGAGTCCTGTGATGTGATCCATCTTCAGGTCTCCCAGCTGTGGTTATCAGCACCTGCTCTGGTGGAAGTGTCAGGAGAGTGAAGTAGACTCTGTGAGAATTCTTGGTTGTAGAAATGTTTAGCATGCTGGCTTTCTCAAAAGCTTGTTATGCTAGCAGTGACGTTGTCACATGGACAAACTCAGGAACTCTGGTTAGCCAGGATTTTGCAGGCAGTGGAACTAGCTGTTGTTTTCTCTTTCCTGGGAGCAGCGTTATTCTGTCATGCATTGCTGTGATGGCCTGAGTTGGTTGGTCTCCTGCCAGGAGGTGGTGCCTTCAAGAGAGCACCAGCTGTGGTAGTATTAGAGGGATGTAAACTTGCACTAAGTTGGTTAGGGTAAGTAATCTAGTTTCTCAGGTGATGGGCAGGGCCATAAAGCTCCAAAGAGTTTATGTCTTTTGTGTTTGGCTACCAGGGCTATCAGATGGTAGCAGGGTTGGGTGGGTCTGGGTTCAGACTCTTCTTGAGTGGGGCTTGTTGCAGCCACTCTTATGGGGGTGGTTCTCAGGCCAGTGGGGTATGTTCCAGATGGGATTATGGCTGTCTCTGCTGTGTCATATAGTTTTCCAGAGAACTGGGGGATAGCCAGGAGCAAAGGTCCTCACCCAGTTCCCACGCAGTTGGCGAGGCTGGTCTTGCTCCTGCAGTCCCCTGCTTAGACCTTGCCCCAGGCCTTAAGCTTCACCACTAAGAAAGCAAGCATGGATTTCAGGCCTTGACCCTCCCCATCTGCCCACACTGGGCAGATCTGATGGCAGAGGCTCCTGTATTCATATCTGAAGTAATTCCCATTCACGCTCCAGATTCTTCTCAAGAAAAATTGTGCCCAGTAGAAATTGTTACAAATTTCAGTTGGAAACTTCTTTTATCCTGGAACCCTTTTTTGAATTCTGCTGGCTGCCTTCCCTGAGGGTCCATGTGAGGTATAGTCAGAGATGGCTTTCCTGGTCTCAAGCTGGAGACTGGGAATGACTATAATACTCTTCCCACTGCTGCTTCTACTTTTGTATTTTGTGCAGCTCTTTATATTCACTTGAGCTCTATTACAGATTAAATCCTTCTCCAATGATGTGGATTTTTAGATTCCCAGTGAGGATGTGTGTTCAAAGGTAGATTCCCCCCTCACACTTTTAGAACTCACATTTTTCTCCTGTCTCATGAAACTTGCAGCAGTATGCCACTTTTTTCAAAGGATTTGTGAATTCTTTTTTTTTTTTTTTTCTGGTATATTCCTGCAGTGGTTCTTCAAGCAAAAGTTCATGGTGTGAGTCTCCACACATTGTTCTTTCTGTTCAAGTGGAAGCTGTATATTAGCCCTGTCTCCTATCCACCATCTTCCTCACACTCCCCTAATAAGGCATTCTTAATTTGATATAACGTATTAATTATTTCCCTCTAAGAACAAAAATGTGACAAAGATACTTGTTATCACTAATTCAATTCAAAGTCATACTTGATAAGTTAAATGGTCTAAAATGCAAGAAAAGGAAATGAATGAGATTGAATAAAGTGAAATAACCTTGCCATTACTCATGGTCATATGACTGTGCAAGTACACAATCTAGAAAAGCCTACAAAAGAAATATTAGCATGAAAAACTAAATTAAACAACCTTACTTGATATTACATTATTAAAAATTAATGGCATTTCTAAATAGCATTAATAAAAGTAACAACAACAAAAAAGAAAATTTAAAATAATATTTAAAATAGCATCAAACACATCAAGTAGACTTTTAATTTCTAGCTATAATAGACAGTAGATATTGGCAAATTGTCTCCCCCCATCCAAGAATACAAGTTAAAAACTGGCAAATATTGCCAAGAAAACCTCCACAATTTTACATCCCTGGAAATGTACAAAGTTACAAGTTGGTAAGTGTTTATTCAAGAAAAACTGTTGAATAATGGGGAAAACAGTGGGAATCTGTAGGCTTCTTGCCTGAAGCCATTCCATTTACCCTTCCCTTAACCCGAAACCTCTACCCTGCCAAGTTTGATTTGTTAATATTACTACAGTGGGGCTGGAAAAGGATAAAAAGCAGCTTCACTGCTAAGAGGGCAGATTTGATTTTCAGCAGAAGGTAAATACCCATGCCTGGTGACATTGTCAGAAAATAAAGCACAGTCTGTAAGAAACAATGAGGAAACCCATGACTGTGCTGGCCTGGAATTAGCATCTTGGTTGAGTCAGTGATAATTCTGCCAAAAAATTAGTGGAATCTTTGAAATTAGAGAGGCATAGAAAGCTATATAACTCCTCATGCATCCCTGACTATCTGGAAAACTATATACATGTGCAAGGCAAAATCAAGAGAGCCCAGGGGGAATTAATTGTGAAGCAAGAGATAAAAATGTCCCAAACTTCAAATACTCTCTCTAATTCACACACAGATTTATTGCCAAAGATTGAAAGAAACCTCTGTTTAGGAAGTATGAAGAACAGTTAAAACTCAGTAATAGAAGATACGCATTTCTCTTAAAATATGCAAAAAATTGTTTAGACAGTTCACAAAAGAAAATATATGAATAACCAATAAGCATAAACACATCATTACTCATTAAGAAAATGCAAATTAAAACCATAATGATGTGTAACTACACACCAGCTAGAAATTCTAAAATTACCAAGTTTGCTGAGCATGGGAAAAATGTGGAATCCTAACATAATGCTGGTAGAAATGTGGAATGAGATTATTTTAGGGAACTTTATGGAAATTTCTTATAAATTTAGAAATATAGTATATTTATTGTATGACTCAACTATTTTACAATTTCATTATCCCAGAGTAATGTAATATAGGTACACACACAGACTTGTTGATATATGTTTATAGTAGTTTTATTCTTAATAACTGTAAACAACTCAAATGTCCACCACCAGAAGGAACCCATTAAATAAAAGCTAATTGAATGGGATTATAGAACTATACTCTTAAAACACTTAGTCACTCTAATGGATAAATGATCTACTTACAATAAATTTCAAACATTCCAAAAAAGCAGTGAACAAATTGACACTGTGTATATTATCACTTTTTGAGCACTTTTCTTTTCGTTGCATTCCAGGGATGCAAGCTCTTTTATTTTTCCAAATATTCTCCAAATTTTTAGGTTCATTAGTATATCGCTGCCTGTAAATACTCCGCTCTCTTTGCTAATAATTTATTGCCTCATTCTACCTCTATCACTTCAGCTGCTCCTTGAGGCCTGCATGCAAATGTCTGTCATTTATTTACTCAGCAATATTTATTGATTAGCTAGTAAGTCTCTGGTTCTTCTAGGCTTTGGGATACAGCATTAAAGAGGAGATAATCTCTTCCTTTTCAGATCTTCATTCTAGTGTATGATAGAAAAAAATGTATATGTTAACATGCAGTAGACCAGCTGTTGATATGTATTAATAATAAATCGAATTATTTATAAGTAATAATAACCAGGTTATGTATTAAAATTTATACCATGTTATATAATGCATATTTATAATTAATAATTAGTAAAACTTATTTCATTAGTGTGAAAAATTAATAAGGTAGGCCCAACCCTCTTCTCATTGGAGGAGTGTTAAAATTTTACATGGATTACTTGAGAAGGCAACATTGGAACAGGGGTTTGAAGAACTGGGGGAGATGTGAATGATCTCAATGTAATTATCTTGGGAAGCTGTATTACCGACTGCAGAAATAATGCTTGGATGTTTTTCTTGAATCTCCAGTTATCTCCACTGCTTCTTTTTTGGCTTTGTTTTGTATTGTTATTGTGTTTAGAATTTTTCATTGTATTCTGTGTAGATCTGCTTTTTTCTGCAATGACTGTAAACTCCTTATGGGAAGAATAATTGCTTTTTGTTCAACGTTATTTATAAAGTTAAAAAAAAGTGAATGCTCATGGTAAGCATTAGTTAAATATTGTTGAACAAAAACTTTCAATGTATGAAAACATTTAAATATATTTTTCAAACATTTTCAAACATATTTTTCTAATGCTGTGTAATTCACAAAGATTTGGTTCCAATAAGAACAGATGATTAATATTAATAGGCTATTAATCCATTACAAAATAGACTGAAGAGCCAAGTTGCAGTATAAGTGGGGAAGTATATTGGTTCTTTTTTTTTCAATACATTAAGTTCAAGGTACCTGTGAGTCATTCCAGCTATTGACACACAAATATATCTTTTTTTTGAAGCATTTAATCTGTTTCTGTACTTTTTTAAAGCTCATATCTTTCTTACTTTTACAAAATATTTTCTGTGTCTTTGTTGCTCTTTAGTCACAATTCCTGATACTATAAAGCTACATATTAATTTTTCCATTTTTAATAATGAATTACTTAAAACTCATCAAATAGTACCTCTTAATCAGTAGAGGTAAAACTGGGTTTCCACAAATACATAAATATGCAGATTATAGAAGCATTGAAAAGCATATTTCAATGGATATTATGACCAGCACACTCAAATACAGGAGGTCAAGTGACATTTTAGAATGAGCATAGATTTTGATGACAAATGGAAAATAACTTTAAATATTTTCTGAGCCATTACTAAACATTAGATAATTGACTAAGCAATTAAGAGGATCTTATTTGACTCTTACAACAAAATATGAGCATTATCTGCATATTTTCAGATGAAGAAAACAGAGGAACAGAAAATTTTAAAAACTTGTCAAAGTTCTCATCGCAGCTAAGTGGTCAAAACAAATTTTGAAACTAAGTCGCAGAATTCTAGGGTACAGTTTTTATTGCTGTGTTTTAATTGCTGCTTCAGTTCCTATGATAAAAGATTTTTTTTTTCTTCACAACTACCTATTTACTACAGGATTAATGATACAATATTTAAATTCTATAAGCATACATGGTGTTTTGGTAAGTTAAATGAAAGTGTGCATTTAACTCACCAAACAAAGCCTTGCGACCAGGGACACTCAGAATTCTTAGTCCCCCACTCCTCTTTTTTAAATTCAAGGATGAGAGCTCCTGTTATTTCACATTCTGTTTCTGTCTGGGTCAAGTTTCCTGTGAGCTGTCAGAGCTGCTAAATCAGATGTCTCTTCATACATGCCACTTAGAAGAGGCAGGAACACTGTCTTCCTGCAGCTCCTGGGCTCTTTAAATACAGAGTGAGAGCCTCTTACAGGTCTCTCTGTGCAACAGTTCACTGTCAGCGTTTCACTGCAGCCTGACCGGCCCAGGAGCCTGGAGCTGGTTGATAATATAAAGAGAGAAATGTCTGCTCCATGACAGACACTGATGGCAGGGGCTGCCAGTCCCAGTGGGCTCTGACTCCGGCCACAACCACACACAGCATGCCACAAGCTGAATCCACTTTGATGAAAATGGATTCTTTCTTCTGTAGGTTCACTGGACTCATTTAAATTAGGTTGTAATTCTAACTAGAGCAGACAGATTTTGCAATTCTAGCAGTATTTTCTGTTATTCTTTTGTAATGTAGTAGACTGTGTAGGAATTTTATTCACAACTGTTGCTGTCATGTGCCTTCCAGTCAGAAGTGCATTCTGCAATATTATATTCTGATTTCTAAAACCATTGTTATATCTAGAGTCTTACTGCTAATTTAAAGAGATAGTTAAAAATCCATTCCCCTCTTTATTTCATCATTTCATACTTCTCTAGGCTGGGCTTCTATGAAAATATATTGCATTCACCAATACGTCATTGTTTTGAATCTTTTTTTTTCTTATTCAGAAGTAGGCTTAGACACACATAGAACACATAAAGCAGAAAGAGACTAGTAATATTTAATGTAGTTGTTCGTTTCTTAGATGAGAAAATAGACACACGCTCTAGTTCACACTATCTGTTAATTCTGGGTAAAAATGAAGATTTTAAAATCCTCTCTGATCTGGTACTCTTTGAAACTTGTCACACATTCACATACAAGCAAAATGAAAGGAAGAATTTATGATGCTAACCCAGCATAATCAACACTACTTATGTAACCATTTATGTAATGATAACATCTTTTGTTTACATACTGGTCAGGATTTTAAATCTAGTTAAAATACATATTCATTAAGATTTGCAGAACAGGAATTTATTCTTGTTTACTAAAGGAAATGCTGACTTACTGAAACAAAAAATAGGGTTAAAGTTGTATCATCAATATTTTTCATTTTCAATTCAAAGATTTTTTTTCATTTTCAAAAATATAATAGAACTTGTGACATTCTGTCCATTTTTGATACATAGCAAGAAGTAAGCTGATAATATAAGTTGTAGGGTAGTATCCAAGGTAATCAAAGCAGGGCTTCAAAAGTAGTATATTAATTTTGTGCAATGAATTCTACTGGTCAATTGATGCTTTAACTTAAGAAAGTTCAAAATTCCACATTTGTCTTTAAGACACGTTTAAATTCACATTTTTCATATCCCTTGTAATCAATGAGCCAAGTTCACATTCAGCATCATTTCTTATCTAAGGATCTTCAAACGGACCTCAAGTCACTATAAACCTCATGACAATGGCTTTTACAACTATGATATTTAATATGAGAATAAAGACAACTACTATAATCTTTAGGATTAAAATTATTATGTATGAAAGAGTGTGGTGTCACTATATTTGGACAATTAGAGACATAAGAAAGTATATATATAATATATATATAAAGTATGTATATATTATATATATTATATATTAAATATATATATCATATATAATATATATAAAGTATATATAGAGAGAGGAATTCACTCAAATCTAAAGAATATATATATACTCTCTCTATATATACTTTATATATATATACTGTCTATGTATACTTTATATATTATATATAAACTATATATAGAGATATATAATATATAATATATGTAATATATATTACATATGTATTATATATGTATATTTATATATTATAATATATATAAAGTATATATATATAGAAAGTATATATATATAAAAAGATATTCTTTAGATTCTAGTGAATTCCTCACATTCTCACTAAATTTTTCTAGGACCTTATGATAAATTTCAAAATTACATATAGTTGATAAGAAGAAAGTAATGCAGACATTTTTCAAAATATGAAAATCATCAGGGCAAAAATACAGTTTAGATATTTATGTAAGGATCGCTCCAAGATGTAAGTTGAGAATTATAACAAAGAAACCCTATATTCAAGGCTATCTAAAATAACATAATATCTTAGAATTTATATTTTAGGGCTAGGAACGGTGGCTTACACCTGTAATCCCAGCATGTTGGGAGGCCGAGGCAGGCAGGTTGCTTGAGTCCAGGAGTTCAAGACCAGCCTGGGAAACATGGTGAAACCCCATCTCTTCTAAAGAAAAATACAAAACACTAGCTGGCTGTGGTAGTGAACACCTGTAGTTCCACTACTAGGGAGGCTGAGGTAGGAGAATCACTGGGCAACGGGAGACCCTATCTCAAAAAAAAAAAAAAAGAATTTAGATTTTGATCATGGCATTATTTTAATTCCAGGTTAATCATTCAAACTTTAAATCCAAAGCTTTTTATATGTAGATGAATCTCTCCAGAATGACATTATCATGATTCGCAATATCCAGTATACTAAAATGTGGCAGAAAAACAATACTATAAAAATAATACAAAAAAATTCTGGTGCAAAAATACAGTAAGTTAAAACCCTAATGACCTATTTGGTCGATAGCTACATAAATAACAATGAATGGTTAGATGAACAAATAATTCAAATATCAATGTGGACTAGAAAAAAAAGCAAACAAAAACACAAACATGAACAAATGAAATAAGACAGACAGACATACGATGGGGACAATAGCATTGAAACTAGGAGAGGACTCTAGGATCAGAGATAAGCAATGGGACAAAAATGTGTTTCATTCAAGATGAGTGACCTGAAGCCAGGCTTAAGTCTCAGAGTCTGATTAACGGATAACTCTTAGCTGCTTATTGAAAGAGGCAAAGCTACAGCCTCTAGCAAACTGCTGGGCCAAATGAGGAGAAACAGAAACAGGCTCCTGGCCAGAAGCTGAGCCATACTATCCTCTGCTACGGATCTCCAACTGGAAGATGTAATGTCCGGGGTACATGAAAGAGATGAAAGCTGGGGTTGTAGGGAAAATGCAAAATCATAGAGGGGCAGGGGTGAGAGAAGAGACAGAGGGAGATTGGAAACCAACCTCAAAATATAATAACATAGGGTACAAAATATCCCTTCAAAAGGAACCTAAACATTTTGAATACAGGAGTTTACTCAATAAGTCATTATTGAAGGAAAATTGGAATATACATTCACCATAGATAAATATATATACATATGTAAACAAGCAACACATGAGGTATTTTAAATAAGAACCAGAAATATATTTTCAAACGATCATAAAATAAAATATTAAAGAGAATATATAATACAGGTCACATTTTCTATATTGCATTTAAATTAATTAAACAACAAATATAGTAGGGGATGGTAACCCTATACTTAAAAAATTAAAATGTAATGCTGCATTACTTCTGGGTTTAGATGGAAGGTAGTGGATATGCTACATATCAAAAATCGTGGGACATACCTAAATCAGTATTAAGCAGACAATTTGGAGCTTTAAATGCTCTAAATAGCACACATAGACACACAAGAAATACAAATAATAAACTAAGAATATACTAAAAATAGTAACAAAGACAACAAAGTAAAACTAAATATAGTAGATGTCAGTGATAATAAAAATATAGCATAAATAAATAATATAGAATACATCACAAAAGGAACAGATTGGATCAACAAACAAAACCTCTTTCTTTGATAAATATGATAGACAAGGCATTAGAAGACATTTTAAAGAGGAAATTATATATCTCTATGTGCACATATATAACATAGGTATGTGTGTATATATATGGTATGTCATTACATATCACATATACACACACATATCATATATTTAAACTCACATATAATATATATGTAAAACAACAAAAAGATTAAAGAAATTAACTTGGTCATCAAATATTTCACTGATTATAATGGAGATCATAGAATTTAAATACCATTCATAAAATTTAATAAATATATATTTCTGTATGATAAAACTACTTCAGAGAATAATAACATAGGGGAAGAATCCCAATATATTTTAGCATGCTAGCAAATTGTTAATCCACACATGGGAGAAAACTGGTGAAAGAAAAATAACTTATATACTAGTCTCAATTGTGAACTATATGCACAATTACGAATTAAAATATTGACAAATCAAATAAAGTATTGTATAAAAATGATACATCATTACCAAGTGAATTTATTTAAGGAGTTAAAAGATGTTGTAACATCAGAATATCTGTTCAAGTAATGTATCATATGGACATTAATTTAAAATAAAATTGATTATCTGAAGATTTATAGAAAAAAAGTCAGTGTTTGTTACAATTCACCATGTATCCATGACTTAAAGAGATTTATAATAAACTCAGAAGAGAAGAGAATATCCTTACCCTGAAAACAAAGTCATAAATAAATTATCATTTGTCATTCAGTTTAAGGAGCTTATCTATATTCTTTTCTCTGTATTACTGGGTTTCAAACCTACAAATTACAGTTCCCAGAATCCCTTGCCAGTGAACTTCCTAAGTTCTGCCTAATGGAAACAGTCGTTGGAAATCAGAAGGCAGGAAGAAAAGAGGAAATTTCTCCTCCTCATGGCTACTAGCAACTGTTTGTGGTAGTTATGAACAGCAAGGAGAAGGTTATTTCAGACGCTAGCATTCTAAGCACAGGTATCAATTCAAGCCCTAGTTAAGAAAATAATTTTATGGTAAATCCAGAACAGACTATAACTGTCTCCAACAGAGCAACTGCAGGTGCAGCCTCTTGAATTTTAGTCCTGGACCAGTAGAAGTTTCTGATATCTAGGTGTTATCTAATTATTTTTTTGCACCTTCTAGACAGGCTCCTTTTTCCTTCTTTACTTGAGAATTTCCAATATGTTAAAAAAAACTCTCCTGTTCTTATTTTTTTTATTGATTTACAGGGTATATGTGCAGATTTCTTACATACGTATATTACTTAATGGTAAAGTCTGGGCTTTTAGTGTACCCATCACCCAAGAAGTGAACACTGTACTCAACAGGTAATTTTTAAACCCTCACAAAGTACATATATTAAATTCTATCTGGAGTATTTTATGCTTTTCAGACCAGACCTGTGGCTTTTATTACCAACTATACCTAAAATTACACTAGGCTTATAGTGCATTGTAATACATCAAGAAAAAGAGGGGGAAAGGATATACAATGTGGGGAAAAAGTGAAAATTATTTTCTTACATATAATATGATTTCCTCACAGTCTGCAGTTTTACATAAAGCTATCAGGTGCAAGAACAACATTTTAAAAATCCATGTGTATTACCAACAAAATTAGAAATAAACTATGAGTAAACTTAACCAAAAATACTGCACATAAATTCTATGAATATTACTAAATATTGCTGGAGAATAAACAATTGAATACAAGGAGAAAATTCTTTGGTTATGGAAGGGAAGATAATATCATAATGGTGTCTTTTTTTTCCCTAAAAATCTATAACATCTAAGCTAATGAAATTACCAATCCTATGTAAATTTGGCAGTAGGAATTGGAAGCCAATTTGAAAACTGACATGGAACATCAAAGGTCCAAGAATACTCAAGATAGTTTTGAAGAAAGAAAGCAATGATGTGATCAGAGACGGTGACTCTTAACTAGATAGTAATTGTCAAGTCAATAACATGGTAACAGCAAAGTAAGAGATAAATTGACTAGTGGACAGAATGGGCAGAACACATACCCATGCTTATACTATAAATTACCTACATTGCAGAAAATACATTGCAAAATTTTGAGAAAGTTCGAGTTTTTATAATAATTCAAGAATACTTTGCCATTTATTTGTAAATACCTTATCTCGTTTACATAATCTGGACAAAAAATAAATCATTTTTTTCACTTTTAGCAGAAAAACATGAAATTCTCATTACACCCTGAAATTTTGAAAAAAAAATTCTGAAATTAAGCACAAAAGCCGATATATGACTAAATTAGAAATTTTTTCTACAGAATAGAAACTATGTAACATGTAAATATAAAGTCCACAGAATATGACAAAATGTTTTCACTTTCTATAACTAAGAATGCTTTATTGACTTATACATTAACTTGTATAAGAAGTGTTATTAATTGAAAATAAAAAGCTCTTCCAACGTGTAGGAATATAATCATAACTAACATTTTAAGTGGTGATTTTGTGCTAGACTCTATTCTAAATGCTTTATGCCCTCAGAATATCCCTGTGATACAGGCATTATTACTATCCTCATTTTACAGATGAAGAAACTTAAGAACAGAGAATTTAAGTGATATCCTCAAGTTTATAAAGCTAATGTGCAACTGGGGGTCTATACCTTGTGTGTATGACTATAGAGTTTCTACTATTAACCAATAGAATAACAATCCTGAGAATATAATACATGTGTGGTGAATAAATGTGGGGAAAGCTGCTCAAGCTTACAAATCATCAGGATAATTCATATTGAAACTAATTGTCATTTTATGTACATAAAATTAGCAAACTATTAAAAAGCAAATATTGGCAAGGATGTTAAGAAACCAAAACTCTTAGGCATTGGCATAACCACTATGATAAACAACTTGGAAGCATCAAGTAATTTATATTAAACATACATGCCCATAGAAATGTGTATAAGAGTATTGATTAAATACACTATGGCTGTATAGATAACGATCCACCATTTGTAAATTTCCTATGAATGAGAGTGTCTACAATTTGACCTCACTTTATTTTTACTTTTTATTTATATTATTATTATTATTATTATTATTATTTGAGATGGAGTCTCACTCTGTCGCCCAGGCTGGAGTGCAGTGGCACAATATCAGCTCACTGCAAGCCCCGCCTCCCGGGTTCACGCCATTCTCCTGCCTCAGCCTGCCTCAGCTGGGACTACAGGCACCCGCCACCACACCCAGCTAATTTTTTGTATTTTTAGTAGAGACGGGTTTTCACCGTGTTAGCCAGGATGGTCTCGATCTCCTGACCTCGTGATCCGCCCCCCTCGGCCTCCCAAAGTTCTGGGATTACAGGTGCCCGCCACCATGCCTGGCTAATTTTTTGTATTGTTTAGTAGAGATGGGGTTTCACCCTGTTAGCCAGGATGTCTCGATCTCCTGATCTCGTGATACGCCCGCCTCAGCCTCCCAACGTGCTGGGATTACAGGCATGAGCCACTGCGCCCGACCTGGACCTCACTTTATAATTCAAAATGTTATTAAATATATCTTTCAAAATTTTGAAAACACTTTGTTATAAATATAGCTTTAGACATTTCATTAAGAGACTTTTAAATGATATTTTTAAAATTGAGAACATGACATCACAAATTTCTTGTGATATTTTGTAAGTGGGTCACAGTAAGAATATGCAATAAACCTTTCTCATAAATAGAGCAATACTCCCTTTCTTGAGACACATAATGAGGAAGTGAATGTATAATAGACTGTCTTACGGTAGGCTGCTCTTTACTCACTCACTTTGCAATACCCTAATCTTGTCAGTAGAAAAAAAAAAGGTTTTATTTGGAAGAAAACCAAATCTATTGATTGCACAACATCCAAGAATTATAAACCCTTTTGTAATTTCTCATAGTGCCTAATCCAACCACTATTCTTACCTCAATTTCTGCTAACACAGTCGGCTTTACAGTAATTGACCCCTGCTCAGGTGTCTTTTCAATTCTATTGCACCTGACTAGTGATTCCTCTTTGCATTTATGTTTAGAAAAAGACAATTAACATGGACTTGGATGCTCCAGGGATATTGCAAGTCCCCTTCAATATTTCTCCAAATCCTTAAAGCTAACGCAGACTCTGTAACCTTTACCCAAAGCTCCGTTCTTTTTCAGCATATTATTGACCTCTTATTTTATAACCAAACTAAGCAGGGTGCTCTTTTAGGCTCCCTCATTCTCCCAAAGGTTCTAACTGAAAAAAGCCATAAAATCTCCTAATATAAATTTCAATGTGTGTAAATGATTATAACCTACTTAGACTATGATATATCTGCAAGCACTCAAAACCTCCCCACAAAATGCTTTGAGTCAATTTTGTCCATCTGTCTCTCCAAAACAAACAAAAAAAGCAGTTACAAAAATTTCTAGGAGCACCCGGCTGTTGTTATCAATGGATTAGTAATTTTTCAGCCTTTGCTAAATGCTTATATGCCTTCCTCCCAGATACTATTTGACACCTCATTCCCTGGCCTTTGGGGACATATTACATCCATTGAAGTCTTAAAATTAGCATTGCCCGCATCGTGGTTTACTTAATTTTGACAAACCTTTTCACCTATATTGTCATAAAACTCATGTGATTGTTGCAGGGCAAAACTTTTGCCTCTCATACATGTCCTGTATCATATTTCTCATGTCAATTGGACCCGTGGCATCAGGCATGCCCCATGCCTGTGTGTGATAGCAGCAGGTGCTGCCCTAATTGACAAAGCCAGTATTCTTACATGAGACACTTCCATTCACCTCTATGTTCTCCATGCTGTGTTTGCTCTAAGTTCATAAGACATAGTAACTCTCTACATGGCAGCAGATCACTGATGAATAGGCCCTATTAGCCAATATCTCCATCATCTTATGTCACTGTAGCTCTTTAAATGCAGTTACTTTGCTATCTTTCTCTGATGATGGTTAGCTACACTTCATTCTACATGATTACCTTGCATCTATAGAAATGATTTTAAAGCCACCAGAGGAGCTCTTAGACAACCCAGACTTATTTGTATTTTGTGATGGCTTCTGTAAATGGAATTTGTAGGGGAACATCATAACTGCCTACACCATAGTTTCCTCCCATGAAACACTTGAGGCATACTCTTTGCCCACTGTAAAATCAGCTAGAGCTGTTGACCTCATATCTCTTATTAAAGATTGCACACTGCCAAAGGGCAAAGCTGCCACTATTTACAATGACTCCAGATATGCTTTGGGAGTCTGTCATGTGGTGCCACAGTCTGGAAATTCCACAAATTCTTAACCTCTGAAGGTACTCTTACTGCCAAAGGGCATATAATTGCTGCCTGATTGCATGCGACCTTCCTACTAAAATTGCTATGTTGTTCACTGACCTGCCTACACTAAGAAGACTAATACTGTATCTCTAAGGAGCAGCAGAACCGACAAGGCTACTAAATATGAAATTGAAAACAGACTTCCTTAAACTTTCTCCACCCAAGTTATAAGCCTGCCTTTAACCCTGGTTAATTTTATTAATTATCAAACAACTGTACCAGTATGAAAAACACAAATGGATACAAAGGACTAAAAGACAATTGGTTCTGCCCTGACATCCACAAAATCATGACATTCATGACCAAGTTATTTCCGAAGCATTACTTATAAATCTCACATTTCTCAAGGAAATTAGCAAACCTCAGAGAATCCTCCAAGGTCTACGCTGCTCCTAGTACCACTCCAGATGGATTTTATAGATTTACCACCATATTTAGGTTCCTCTCACTGTTTGGTGATTACTCATACTAATTCTACTACAATAGTAAAGACAATTAACTTAGATTATTCCTCGTTTGGGCATTTCTTCGTGGATTGAATCAGATCAGATATTTCATTTTATGGCACAAATAAACTACTTTCTTACAATAACTTTGGGGTTCTCATTAACACTGGGTATTCTGTACTATCCTCAAACACCAGGGCAAATGGAATATAAAAATCTAGACTCAAATACACTTAAATAGCCAGAAGCCATACTCCTGGCCTTTATAAAAATCTGTAATATTCCAAATAGCACACACAGATAAACCCCTTGTAAAATAATTTTGAGTCTCCCTATGCCTATTGGCATCTCTAAACCTCCATTCCTGAATTGAGAGAACACGATGGGGACTTAAGTGAACAATTCGATGCTATGGCTAGCTATATATAAGAGCTAACAGGTATATTTGAAACATTATCAACAGGTGAAAAAAAATGTGTGGCCTCCATCAACTTGCCATTCTTTTAAGGCAGGAGGTTGGCCGTGCCTAAAGGGTTTTAGAAGAAAGCATACATTGTCACCTTGCGCAGTACCGAAAACACTGAAAAGGGCTTTGCAAAGGACTGCTGACTCCAACACTGCCGTCAAAATGAGAGAAAAATTCTCCTGGTTTCATAAAAGCCACACTAAACTAGACCAAGGTAATTACTACCAGGGCAATTGGAAGACCATCCTTTTAGGTGAGCTCAAAATAGGAATTTCCACAGTTATATGGTTGTTTGGCTATTTGTCCTCTCCAAATCTCATCTTGAAATGCAATTCCCAATGCTGGTTGTGGGGCCTGGGGGGAGGTATTTGGATCATGGAGGTGGATCCCGCATGAATGGCTTAGCGTCATCTCTTTAGCAATGCGTGAGTTCTTGTTCTGGTAGTTCATGTAAGATCCAGCCATTTAAAATAATATGGCACTTCCTCCCTCTTCTCTCTTGCTCCTACACTTGCTGTGTGACACACCTGCTCCCTCTTCACCTTCTGTCATGAATGTAAGCTTCCTGAGGCCCTCACCGGAAGCAGACACTGGCACCACACTTCGGTACAGCATGCAGAAATGTGAGACAAATTAAGCCCAGACATGAGTATTTCTTTATAGCAATGCAAGAATGGCCAACTACTCATAGCTATTCCCAGGCTCTGAAGTCAAAAAAATAAAAAAGCAGACTGCTATTCCTAAAATCACAGATCAAGAAATTTCCCTCTTTTGAAGTCTCTCTCCATCCTAAAAAACAAAAAGTATTTATTTATTTGGTTTAAATAAAACCTTCCTTTGTTGCCCACTTATTAAAAGACCAAATGAAGATTGCTTTTTTTCAATCTATCCTACTCTTCCTCTGATCCTTCAATATGGGCTCACTTTCAAACTTTGCCTTACTTCTGTTAACCCTTACTGTCTTCTCAACAAGTCAGGCACAGACTTGACACTGCCTTACCCCACTTTTTCAACCCCTGGCCATGCTAGCTAGTCAATAAGATTGCTGGTTACATCAACATCTAGAAACAACCTGAGTTAGCTTTTGCTCCTGTCAATGTGAGCACTTTGTGGATCAACTACAGAAGATGAATAAAAGGGAATCGCATCCACAATCAGGAAAACAATGTCAGTCTACCTCTTCAAGTGAGTTAAGTGACTGAAGTAAAACCACTGTGGAAGCTCAAGGATTGTCCTTTGCTCAGGTAAAAATATTAGAAGGAAATTTTTTTCTTTGCATTTAAAACAGACATGGATGGTACAAGACCCTTCCTAGCTGACATAGCAAGGCAATATTGTATTCATGGTTGAAGCACACTGGACTGTGGGATTGCAGGCTCCACTCTGACCTTGCCCATGAACAACACTGGTCATTTTATCTTCTGTGGTGACAAGGAATATAAAGCACTCCCACATAAATGGTCAGAACAATGTAGAATTGGGTACTTGGTTCCTTCCTTCATCTGGTACTCCACCTTCAATGCTAGTCAAATTACAAGCCTGGGCTCCTTTGTTTATAAGTTATTGCCATATAAACGTAATACATGAGACAGAACAGAAAACTCTCTTGTATATCACCACTCTAAGTAATTTTCAGTGTTGAGGACGTTATTTCTTTACTCCTAACTTTTAGAATTTATGGTGTGAAAAAAAATCCGAAATATTTCCATGATATTAGAACAAGATTTCACACCACTATGAGAACGTTGGCAGCATTTTAATCAGAATTTAAGTTGAATGCTCTTGTACTTCAAAATTGTCATGTCCTGGGTACACTGACTGCCCCTCAAGCAGGAGGGAAAATTGTGCAATCATTGTCAAAAAATGCTGCTTCCAAGTGAATTGGACAGGATAAAGAGTGTCTAATGTACACTTTTTAAAAAAAGAAGATAAACACTCTGTCAGATTAATGAGGCTCAACCAATTTATTGAATTTATCCATTCTCAAGTTTGGGAGTTTGCTTT
Organism: Homo sapiens; assembly: GCF_000001405.40. Taxonomy (NCBI): domain Eukaryota; kingdom Metazoa; phylum Chordata; class Mammalia; order Primates; family Hominidae; genus Homo; species Homo sapiens. The sequence goes on along the minus strand of NC_000003.12, from coordinate 83,423,527 downwards.
AATGGGATTTGGAGACGTGTGCTTTGTTGTGGTCTTTTTCCGCTTACTTATTCTTATACTAATCTGTGTTCTCTTGTCCCTTTGTGGATCTTTAACTACTCTGCTACCAACCTATTTCTCCTTTCCACATCCACCAACTCAGTTTTTTAATTCGTAAAATTTCTTGGGAAGTTTCAGACAGGGGAGGTGAAGGAGTTCAGAACACGACCCAAAACAATATGATACTTAGGAATATTGATTATTTTGAGGAGAAGTCATTTGAAAAATAGCTGATGCAGGAAAGGGGTCTCTGACCCCTCTAGCTAAAAGCAGGTCATAAAATTTCCCACTAGGAAAATGCTCACCCTGTATCAGGAAGAGCACATTCTCATCACCAGACACTAGGAATAGATACACAAATGTATCTGTACAAACAAACCTACTAAAACAACCTTTATCTTTCATTAGTTTTTCCATATATTTTCTGGTTTCTTTCCCAGAATTTACTGCTTCTAGACCAAATCCATGTGGCTTTTCACACCCCCACACAAAGTTACCATTTTTTTTCTTGTTGTTGTTAAAAATATATGTTATCAGTCTTAACTGCTTCTTTTGTTTTCCATTTTTCTTGTGATGTCTCTGCTGAGCACTTAAAAATATTCCATAAAATTTGTATTATTTTCTCTTCTTAATCTGTCCTATATTAGTTTAGTTTTTAGACCCAGCTACAGAACCTAAGAGGATAAGTTTTTCCTCTTCCACGGTACAAATTGTTGTCAGGTTGTAGTTTCAATACATATTTTCCAAAACTAGTATTTACATTTGCCCAAATATATTATTTTTTGTTCATACACTAGATGACATAAGAAATGAAAGAATGCCAGTTCACTTACAACAAAATGGTGATTTCTTTACCTGACTGAAAAATCATTACTATAATTTCTCAATTATCTCTGAGCAATCACAGGCCAACTAACCCAGATTTGTATGCTAAAGGAGACGCAACCACGGAAAAGATGATCTGATCCTGTCTTGGATTTAAAAGTAGATTGTCATTTCTATAATATCTGAATTTGGAAATTCATGTGGTAAAAAAACTCCCAATATATATGATTATTAAAATTATTAGAATACAACAGCAGATTATAATTTGAATTATAGTAAAAATATCCTTGTTTCATTCATTTTTTGGTCTTATCTTGCAGCCCAAACACATTTTCCAGTGACTAGCAAATATTTGATGTGTTAAAACAGATCTGGATTGAATGATTGAAAGAGCCAAGGTTGTAGAGTGAAGAACACAATAAGCTTATTTCTAAAATGCAAGTTCATCAGGTCATTTAAACTCTCTCATTCTTATTTTTCTCAGTTCTCAAATGGAAATAATAATGCTGGCCCCGTAAATGTCACTATGAATCAAACAAAACCATTAGCACAATGCCAAAAATATGAGGTAATTTTTAAAAATGGAAGTATATAGAGGTAGCCATTGACCAGAGTACTCCAGAATCAACATCAAATGATTAACACTGTAGGTAGGTATGCTTTCTTTTTCTTTAATCACAATCAAAAGTAAACTCATTGAATAATCAAAGGTCAAATCGTTACATTTTCTGGGTTAACCAGTAGGACACTGGGTGCGCATATATCTCCATAGTATTTTCATCTTTAAATAGGCAGTGTTTCCCACAATCTTCATCAGATTCACCCTGAATGGTAAATAAAATGTAATGCTGTTTAAGATAACTAAAGCAGGCCAGGCACGGTGGCTCATGCCTGTAATCCCAGCACTTTGGGAAGCCGAGGTGGGCGGATCACAAGGTCAGAAAATCGAGACCATCCTGGCTATCACGGGGAAACCCCGTCTCTACTAAAAATACAAAAATTAGCCGGGCGTGGCGGCGTGTGCCTGTAGTCCCAGCTGCTGGGGAGGCTGAGGCAGGAGAACGGCGTGAACCCGGGAGGCGGAGCTTGCAGTGAGCCGAGATCGCGCCACTGCACTCCAGCCTGGGAGACAGAGAGAGACTCTTGTCTCAAAAAAAAAAAAAAAAAAAAACAACTAAAGGAAATCTATTGGAAAGTGGTTTTCCTATTTTAGCCTGAAATAAGAATTACCTAAAGTATTTGTGATAACACACATTTCTGGGTTTCATCTCCAGAGTTTTTTATTCAGTTGGCCTGAAATGGGGCTCAAGAATTTGCATTTCTCAAACATCCCCAGTGATGCCAACACTGCTAGTGATGGGACTTCACTTTAAGAAACAATGGCCTAAAGAATCTATGTATTTTTTTATTTTTTTTAACAAATTCTCAGATGATTCTGGTGATATGCCAAGATTCAAAATATTATTATGACTTAGCTGTAGCTAGCTTCCTAATTCCCAAGCTCTTCTACTTGTTATCATCTTAGTCTATCCTGCTCTATTCCCATGTATCTTCCTGCCACCCTTTTATTCATATCAGAGAATGAACTTTCTTTGAAGAATAAATTCAACACAATCAGAATATTGAAATGTGAAGAAGTTAGTATTTATTTATTCACATGACATCACTCTTTTATGGTTTTTATGATACTTGGCTTTATTTATTTTTTATTACAACTTTTATTTTAACATATTGTCTCTTTACTCAGATTATAGGTTACAAATGAGATAAATGGATTGGGGGGAACTCTGGTGAACTAGACGGCCCTTGTCCTATCTAAAATAAAAACCATTATTATATCCAATTAATTACTACTATAAAATATAGGCTTAATATCAATAAACAATGGGTTTTAAGAGAAGAATCAAATTTATATGTGTGTGTGTAAATGCAAGTATTCAATATTTGCTGAGTGAATGAATCTATAAAATAATTACAATCCTAACCTACTAATGATTTTCATAACCTTTTAAGAATAGGTTTAGATTTATAGAAAAGTTGCAAAGACAGTACAAAGTTCCCATATTTTCCTAACCAGTTTCTCATTTTTTCAACATCTTATATAACTTTTCTGGTACCTATGTCTCAACTAAGTAGCCAAATTTGGTGTGTTGCTATTAACCATATGCCATTTTCTACAACAGTTTTGCTAGTTTTTCCTCCTGTTTTCATTATGTTCCAGAATTCCTTCTAGGACACATTATTTTTCATCATTATGTCTCCTTAGGCTCCTCTTGGCTATACCAGTTTCTCAGAATTTCCTTGTTCTTGATGACCTTGACAGTTTTAATTTGTACTGGTCAGGTATTTTGTGCAATGTCACTCAGTTGGGATTTTTCTGATCTTTTTTTCTTGTAATTAGATATGGGTTATGTGGTTTGGGAGGAAGACTATGGGGTCAAGTACTAAATTTAGCACATTATATGGAAATACATGTTATCAACAGGGCTCATCATTAATGATGCTAACAATTACCTGTCGAAGGCAGTGTTTGCCAGCTTTCTCCCCTGGAACCGTGGTAACCTTTTACCCCATCCCCTTTTTGTACTCTACTCTTTCAAAGCCAGTCACTAACCAGAGCACATATTCAAGAGAGGGTGGAATGGTTCCAGCTTTTTGAGGGGAGATTATCTTCACCCAAGTTAAGGGGGTTCATCTGTAAGAGACATTTGTCTATTATCTCTTATAGCAATAATATCCTTTAATTAAAAAAACATTATTTTATTTGACACAATGTGACATTTTAAGAGAAAGCATGTGATTCTTCATTTTACTCTAACATCAATTTTGAAAATTAAAATCTCACTTTCTAAACTCAGCTACATTGTAATGACTTTTGCAAATACAGCTTCAAAAATTGGGTGTATATTGATGAAATATCATAATCAGAGATGATCTAGGTATTGCAGAGGAACAGAAGCCTGAATGAGTTAGTAGAGCCAATCTTTTCTGGGATAAAGCTGGATAATGTAAGGCTTTAAGTAGCATGTTTTATACAAGATGCAAGGATAAACAATGCATATTGTACTTGATTGACTCAGACCTCTTTAATATATTAAAGACTCCAACAGCCTACCATGCTTTTAGATTTTCTTTGCTTATGGACAACAAAGAAGCAAAGTACAATAATAAAGAGTATAACAGAGTTTTGTCCAGGAAAGAACCTCAGCCATGATTATTTTAATAGGCTCTTTTCATTTACAGAAAATATTTAACCTGAAAATGTTGACAGACTTGCATTGTGGTATATATTTATCAGAAGAATAAATAGCATTATCCCCCATTTTTATGATTCCCAAACTAGTACTTGATTATCACATTCTATTTTACTGTGAAGAATCAGAGGAGAAAATTAACCTTTACCTGGAGAGAATGCTGAATTGCAGTTTTCTTTGTTCCATGCTGGTTTGCTTTATGTCACCTTTGCTAAGGCTATTAGAAATGTTTCTCGGGATGGCTGGGTCAAATGGTATTTCTAGTTCTAGATCCCTGAGGAATCGCTACACTGTCTTCCACAATGGCTGAACTTCCACTGTTGGGTGCAGTCCCACCAACAGTGTAAAAGTGTTCCTATTTCTCCACATCCTCTCCAGCACCTTTTTAATGATTACCATTCTAACTGGTGTGAGATGGTATCTCATTGTGGTTTTGATTTGCATTTCTCTGATGGCCAGTGATGATGAGCATTTTTTCACGTGTTTTTTGGCGCATAAATGTCTTCTTTTGAGAAGCGTGTTCATATCCTTCACCCACTTTTTGATGGGGTTGTTTGTTTTTTTCTTGTGAATTTGTTTGAGTTCATTTGAGATTCTGGATATTAGCCCTTTGTCAGATGAGTAGGTTACAAAAATTTTCTCCCATTCTGTAGGTTGCCTGTTCACTCTGATGGTAGTTTCTTTTGCTGTGCAGAAGCTCTTTAGTTTAATTAGATCCCATTTGTCAATTTTGGCTTTTGTTGCCATTGCTTTTGGTGTTTTAGACATGAAGTCCTTGCCCATGCCTATGTCCTAAATGGTATTGCCAAGGTTTTCTTCTAGGGTTTTTATGGTTTTAGGTCTAACATGTAACAAACCTGCACGTTGTGCACATGTACTCTAAAACTTAAAGTATAATAATAATAAAATTTAAAAATAAATAAATAAATAAATGTTTCTCAGAATCCCCTTCCCTAGGTTTTGGAGTATAGTTAGCTAATGGTAAAATTTACCTGAGGTGTGAAAGGCAAAGTAAAAGCAGCAGCCTGTAAGGTTGGGAGGTTCTCACAGTGGAACCTGGTCATGAACATTTGAAGGGGTGCCTTTGGGTGATCTCCATATCTAAACTCCACTTAGATATGGAACCCAACTTGACTGCTAATCGTGCTGGCCCCTGTGGCCCCGGGTCAACCACTCAGTGCATGGCTGGAGGCCCATTGGAGAGGTAGTTACAAAGGGGCAAAAGATTTCCAGGACCTGGAAATTTCTGTAGATCTCTTTCTGAATCCCCGCTTACCGATTGCTCTTCAGTTGCAGATTTATTGAATTCTCGTACTTTCCTCTGAGGTCTTATTCATGCAGCAATATTATACAAGAACTGGTTAGTGAGTCTTTCTCTGATTTGCTGATGTTCCCATTTCAATTTTCTTTCAAAATCTCCCTACATATGAATAAGGCCTAATTCATATAACAAATCTCTAATTCCCATTGTGATTAATGATTCCATTTTCTTGCCTAACATCTGACAGACACATTTTTTTTCCATTTTATTTTATTTTATTTTGTTTCATATGTTTCATCTTTCCAGACCACCAAATGAAGGAAAAATGTATTTTTTTTTTTTTGGAAATAAGATGCTTTAATATAAATAGGGTAATTAAAAAAAAATAATAATAGAAAGAAATTACTACTGAATTTGTTACTTATATTAGTTTGCTCAGGCCACCCTAACAAAATGTGGTATACATCTGACTGAATGAGTTAAGCAATGGAAAGGTATTTTCTAACAGTTTGGAGGCTAGAAGTTCAAGATCAAGGTGGCAGCATAGTTGATTTCTGGTGAATGTTCTCTTTCTGGGTAGCAAAAGGCAACCTTCTCACTTTGTTCTCATGTGGCCCTTCCTCCAGCGTGTGTGAGTGAGAAGAGAGGGAGTGAGCAAGCTCTTTACTGTCTCTTTCTGTAAGTAAACTAACCCTGTAGGATGAGGGCTCCACCCTTATGACCTCATGTAACATTCATTACTTCCTTTGAGGCCCCATCTCCAAATACAGTCACACTGGGGTTAGGATTTCAACATGAGAATTTTGGAGGGACATAAACATTTAGCCTGTAACATTACTTGAATGAATAAACCCAAATAATAAACCAAATGAGTGTATAAATATATCAACAAATAAGTAAAATAAAAAGACATGATCATTAATTTGAATGTTTCAGACCAGCTATTCCTAAGTGTGGACCTTAAATAATTGTTGATCTGACTTCTTCAATAAATTAGAGATTTTTATTAAAATACAGATTCCCATTCATATTCAATCAAAACTTCTAGGGAGCTGACTAGAAATGTATTTTATGTCTAAGCTTTCCAGATGATTCCTTAGAAAACTGTTTTATAAACATCAGTTTAAAATAAAAAATAATATTCATTGATTATCTCTTCTCAGTCACATTACAGAAAAGAATTTAAGGCCAAATTTGGCCCTAATCTGGGAGTATGATGGATGGTCAGCAGCACCGAACGTGGGCATAGAAAGTTACAGTGACAGCAGCTATGGCATATGTGGGGCATTCTTGTTACAAGTTAAAAGAAGGAGATGGATAAGATTAATATCTGAAATATGTCTCTCTAATTAAAAATGATTTGTCCTTTAAGTTTACTTAAAAGTAAATAAAAAGTTTGAAATCTATTGTGAACATTTATAACAAAAGCTAAACCAAATAGTCTACAAATGTCAAATGTACCTAAAGTTTTATTATACATAAGAGGGAAAAGGTCAAGAATATAATAAAGGTTAAATGACAATGACGGGAGATATGTTTAAAATAATACAAAAACTATAAAAATTAATTTATTTAATATTTAGATTTTTTAATAGAAAACAGGAAGAAATGTAACTTTATGGCAAAGTCATAACTCCTAGATTTAATAAATATTGGCAAAATGCAGTTACACCTGTTTTAAAATTAATTTTTAAAAGTACAATTACATTGGGTGGCATAATTTGTCTTAGAAAAGACAACTACAAAAGGGATTAAGGTTTAAAAGTACATGGAAGGTATTACAGAGAACATTAAACCATTGCTTTATCATAACTAAAGTTATGACATAACCAGGTGATCCATTAAAGGAGAAATCTGAATGCTCATTGTATACATACTGCTTTTAGAAGTGATAAAAAGGAAGACACGATATGGCTTCTGACTTAAAATATGTTCATGTTATGTTAGGATAATCCAGCAGAAATAAACTAGATATAGGTAGTATGGTTAAGGCTGAGAGAAAATGATTTCACGAAAACAGTTAAAGTAGAACAAGAATTGAAGTGATTTTTAAAGAGTGGAATTTTACTGAAGCAAGTGACTCTTCAGCCAAACTAATCTTCCTATTTTTTATTAAAGTATTATAATTCTCTTTTATATGACTAGTGTTAAATATTAAGAAAGAACAATGTAAATAAGTCTGATAAAGATACTTCAGGATTATCAGAATGAGGACCAGGTGTGGAAGTTAATATTCTGCCATTAAGACAGCAGCTTGGTCCAGTGGTTTACAATTTTCAAATTCATTGCTTTGTTCATTATTTACACAAGCCCATCGGCAGCTTGCCAATCATAATATATGCATAAAGAAAAAAGCCATATCATTAGCTGTGGGTGACCTGTTTTGGCTGAAAATCTCTCCTCAATATATCAAAAATGCTTATTTTGAAGCAAATATTTTGATAAAATTTTTGTTGGGATGAATATAGCTATCTCTATTAAACTTATCTCCATATAAAATGTACCCATGTATTCTTTCTAAAATTGTTACTTTGTTGTTATAAAGGCATTGGTTGACTTGGAGCCTGTACATTACTTTTTACTGAATGTTTGCTAATATATAGAAAAAAAATACTTGCGGTAGGCATCAAGATGGAGAATAATGGTGCTGAGTTCAGTAACTTACAGTCGACTATATTTTCCCATTTTATTTTGTGTGCATTTGAATTGCATATGTACTATATTTTATAGTTGATTTTAGCACAAGACCCAGATGTTCTTCACACATCTGTTTACGTACCTTTATATAAATGAACTTTAAAATGACACTGGCAACTCCAGGGACCGCACTAGTCTCAATAAAAAGTACATATTTTTGTCTTGTCTACATGGGGATCATCTACGTATAAGTAGATGTCGAGTAACTAGTCATTTTTCATGTGTTCTTGCAATGCTGTTATTTACATACTCCTGATTTGTTATGCCTGACCATCTGGTTATGGATGAAATACTGCAGTTACTTTTTTTTATTTCTTTTGCCTTTGTTTAGAAGGGCTTTCTAAGTATTATCAATACCAAATGTTCTGTGATTATTTATGCTAATAACCTAAAATTTATTATTTATTCCAGATTGTTGCAGAATACATTTCTAAATTTACATACCATTAAATGTTTAAGTGACTTTGTAAAAGGGTAGAATTAAATATAATATTTTAGCTGTTTTTATAGATGTTACATGACACACATTAATTCTTAATAACTGTATGAAATTGTAGATCCACATCACCTCTTTTTTTACCAGTAAAGTTGCAGCCTGGTAGTTAAGTGCTTACGCAGACTAGTCAGAGTATTTTGAGATAAGAATGATTATTGAATTTATTGACTGTGAATTTGGTCAAGGTACACAGTATAAATATCTCTGCATTTCAATTTATCTGTAAAGTGGGCTAATTGTAGCATCAATTGATATAGTTGTTGTGTGAGTAACATTAGATAATCCATTTAAAGAATTTAGCATACCATTAAGCATGTAATAAGTACTGTATTAAGGACTGTCATTTGGTATTAATATGATCAAATTAACATTAATTCACATATTATACATGAATTTGAAGAAGTTGACAATATCACTGCTTACTCTAACTATTTTGTGAATTTTAATATTGGAGATAAGCTATTAATACATATTTTCCATTTTTAAACAATGTTCATGGGTTCTGCACTCAGTAGCAATCCAACCTCATTTGCATGTGAGGCCAAGAAATAACTGGAACATCTCGTAAGGTTGCATGATTTTAGAGTATTTTAAATTGAGGTGGTTCTCTATTAGGAAAAGCAGGAAGTTTGAGGTTTGGTCTGAGGGCAGAGAAATAAAAATGTGTTCCTCATTACATTGTATAGTGGCATTACATTTACATGACAAATCCCTATTTAAAATATTTGCTGGTGAGAAGTCTGAAGCTAAAAAGGCAGCATGGATGTGGAGAGGTCCTGAGGATATTGGGTTAGCCTGAGATATAGGCAATAAAGTGCTTGCCCAGAGAATTCCACAGCTTGAATGAAATTAGAAGTGACAGATAGAAAATTTCTAAACTGATGGAAGAAAAAGTTTTATCATTGTCAATGAAGAACTCCAATTCCCAATTCTCCATTTTAAGTTTAATGGTGGGTACTGGGTATACAGTGAAGGATTAGATGACCATCTCAATCAATGGGGAATTATCTGAGAGAAGGGGAAAACATTATTCTCCAAGGGCTCTGGTTTCTAAGGGATTATTTAAGATTTTTTTTTTCATTTAAGTGCAAGATAATTGTTGTTCCTATGTCCTGGCTTTTTATATTATCTACGAACATTTGGAGACAAATAGGGAAGGGTTTGTGGTTGGCAAGAAAAATGGGTGGACTTTGAGGTACTCTCAGAGTCATAAGTTTGTTTTTTTAAAGACTCGCTTTGCAAGGTGAGTGTGGAATTTAAGTCCTCTTTCTTCCTGCAAGCTCTTTCCAAATAATTGAGTAGCAACTTTAATAATAGCACTGAAAGATTGCTTTCAATGAAAAATAATTAATATACTGAAGTGGCATATTTTGGCATGGCAATTTCTAAACTCCTTCGATATCTTTTAAATTTACAGATAGTTGCTTTATTTATGACAGGATAATTGATATATATTTAGCCAGTAAAAATGATCATACATTTTTCTATACAGGCATTATACAGAATTAATTCCTGCTTCTAACTAGTATGATTTTCAATAATTAAAATTTTTATTAACAAATTTTAATAGAGTCTAATTTAATATTATTCTGTTTAAATGTTATTGAAATTATTGGAAATGAAAAAAATGGAAAAATAAAAAACCCATTCTTGAGAAATTTCATAATATAAACATTATGGATTTCTAAAATATATATTTTGAATTAAGCTTAGTTATGTTTTAAATTTATCTAGTTTATATTGGTGGTTTTCATTTATATATTTTTTCAATTTTGAGATAAAAAGATATCTTTGAGAGATTACTGTAAGTAATTGTAATTGGTGGCTGCTAATGAGGACTCTGGCAGGTTGAAAAGCAATGGGTGCCAGTGGGCTTTCTGGTGTTGTCTCTTCTCTGGCATTTGAAAGGAGAATTAAACCACTTTAGATGAGACTGTATTACAAAACCCGAGACAAGATGCTTTGGGCAAAGTGTTGAGAAGACAGGAAAAAGGAGACAACTTTCTGCTAATGAGGATCTGGAGGCTATTGCAACTCATTAGTAAAAATTAAAAGACACATGTGACAATATTTTTTACTTAAAACTAAACGTTTGAGTTATTCTGGTTGTAATTCTACTGCACAATGCTGTTTGCTCACTAGAGAGTATATGACATCAGGTGGGTTCTTCCTAACTTGTTTTCACAACACTGTTGCATTAATTTAGAATACAAATTACAATAAAAAGAAGACAAATAAAATTAATTAAAATTAAAGTACAATTAACTGATTATTATCTATTTTTGCTGATTTCACTTTGGTGCTTAAGCCTTGGTATGTTTATTTCCAATGATAATATAATTTTAAAAAGTTTAAAAAGTTACCTGAAAAGGATGCTGTTAGTGGATTTCTTCTTGAAGAATAATAATCATTTCTGTTTACAAAAGGAGAAAAGCGGTTGAAATAATAATTTGTCAGACAATACTAGACAATATCAGCCCTTTTGCTTCTTCTATCCTTAATATCTTGTTTGACCAACAGTATTTAAAGTTTTCTATCTTTGAGTTTCTACTTCTCTCAAACCAATAGTAGACTTGTTTTCATTCTCCCTATATTCATAAACAGTTTTCCTTCTCTTTTTTATTTTATATTTTTAGGTCCTAAAGATTGTCTTGTTACAATGTTCAACAGCAGTGAGGCTCTTTTGCATTCATCTTTGCCTTTGTGTCATTGTGAAGGTCAAAATCTGTCAGTCTGCAGCACATGTACTCTTAATAAGGCTGTCTTTCTTGTACTTCCTCACCCTCAGGCACAGCATATAATTCCTCATGAGTGTCTTCTGTCACAAAGAAATACTCGGACTCAAAAATACTTGAAATGAGGGGTTTGGTGGCTTAGTAGATAAAACCTTTGATCCTTTACCTCAGAGAACATGGCTTAAATTCAAACTTTCAATGTAAGTGAAAAGAGATTTATAGAGTAACTAATATCACCTGTTCAGAATGTTCTAGAGTAAGGCACAAAATATGTGTAACAAAAATCATCTCAAGACTAAATTTGCTCAAAACCCCACTCATCTCCAAAGTATAGGGCTTTGGAATTTGAAATTAGGATTGCTATTTAATTCTGAGTTATTTGTTATCAATTCTCCTTTTATAATTGAGTGTATTTGCTTTTGAGCTCTTGTTAAGTTCCTCAGCATCCCAGGAAACTATGAGATCCTTAACTAAAATCAAGGCTTCCCTCCATTTTGAAAACAAAACCAGCATTTCAATGACCAGTATTTGTCAATTATGTCATTCTTAGAACACTCTCCTTTATCCAAGATCAGGAGAAGGCATATGTTTCTCACAGGAACTAGATGTATGCCTACACATAATGTAAAATTGTCCTGTGAGAGAAGATCATCTAATTATTTTTTTTGTTTGTTTGGTGGTACCTGGGTTTTCTTAACTTCCTCTTAGGCTACGTAAGTATGAGATGAAAAATAATTATATTAAAATACTATGCATAGTACAACTTATTCAGCAAAGTGTGAGAGAACCTATGTGTTAGCATCTGAAGATTATGAAAATAATACAGCAAAGATGACATTTGCATATGCAGTCTGCAGTGGATTTTTGAAAATAGGTCAAACTTCTTTTTACAGGACAGTGATAACAAAGAAGCCTGGAGTAATATGGAAAGAGAGATTAAAATGTGCTTGTATCAGCAGCAAATATTAAACGTTTTTTTCCTTTGTGACTATATTAAATGCTATTATAGTAACATTATATGTTAACTATAAACAAAATAAATATATTCTATTACAGAATAATGGGTATAAAATTTTGTGTGACATATAATTCTGTAAGTAATTGTGAAAATACCAAGGTTCTACATAACTTAAAGTCACAATGAGATTTAAAAAAATATTGTCTGGAAATGTATTACATAAATCCTCCTATTTCAGTATCAAAAGATGTAAGCCATAACCATAGAGATGGAAAATGTTTTTTGCGTACCTTTTTAAGGAGATAATATTATATTAATTAGAAAGTTATGTGTAGTTAGAAACTGAAAATGCAGTGAATGGGGTAAATAAAGAAATTATAAATAGCTGTGAATGGACAATTTGGCAAGCAACTAATGGTTTTAGTGGTCAATAAATTAATAATATTGAAAAAATATGTTTCAATTCATAAGAACAGATTATTTGAAAAACTCATTCAGGTTAATTGAAGGTTATATAACACAGACCATTTCAAATCTTCCCCAAATAACAATTCTTATATTCAGTTCTATATCAAGCTAACTAAAGTACCTCTTTTATTGTGCTTCACTTTGTTGTGCTTTGCAGATAGTACATTTTTTCACAAACTGAGGATTTGCATAAACCATGCATGAAGTAAGTCTATTGGCACCATTTTTCCAGTAACATGTCCTCACTTAGTGCCTTTGTGTCATGTTTTGGTAATTCTCACAATCTTTCAAACTTTTCATTATTATTATATCTGTTACAGCGATCTTTGATCAGTGATCTTAAATGTTACTATTGCAATTGCTCTGGGAAGCCATCAACCTGACCCATATAAGATGGTGAACTTATTCAATAAATGTTGTGTGTATTCTGACTGCTCCACTGTTGGCCATTCACCCATCTCTCTTGCTCTCATCAGTCCTCCCTATTCCCTGAGACACAGCAATGTTGAAATTAGACCAATGAATATCACTACAATTGCCTCAAAGTGTTCAAGTGAAATGAAGAGTTGCACATCTCCCAAATTAAATCAAAGCTATAAATAATTAAGCTTAGTACGGAAGGCATGTCAAAAGCCAAGATGAACTGAAAATTAGGTCTCTTGCATCAAACAGACAAGTTGTAAATACAAAGGAAAAGTTATTGAAGGAAATTAAAAGTACTACTCAGTGAAAACATGAATGATATGAAAGTATCAAATATTAAACAAAAACATTTAGTTTAATCTCATTGTGGCTTTAAGCTATGTAGAACCTTTATACAAAACAGATTTTTATTCATGTGGAGAAAATTTTACTGGTCTGAATAGAAGATCAAACCAACTACAACGTTCCCTTAAGCCAAGTCAACTACAGAGCAAGTCCCTAACTCTCTTCAATTCTGTGAAGGCTGAGAGGTGAGAATATTGCAGAAGAATGGTTAGAAGCTAACAGAAGTTGGTCCATGAGGTTTAAGGAAAGAAACCTCCATTACATAAAAGTGCAAGGTGAAGGAGCGAGTGCTGGTGTAGAATCTTCAACAAATTATTGAGAAGGTCGAGCTGAGATTACTATTGAAGCTCTTTCCACTAAACAACAGATTTTCAATGGAGATTAAACAGCTTAATATTGGAAGTAGATGCCATCTAGAGCTTTCATAGTTAAAGAGGAAAAGTCAATGCCTGGCTTCAAAGCTACAAAGAACAGGTTGACTCTCTTATTAGAGCTAATGAAGCTTGTCATATTAAGTTAAAGCTAAATGCTCAGTTGTGAAAATCTTAGGGTCCTTAAGAATTTATGATAAATCTACTCGCCTATGGGACAACACAGCCTGGATGACAGCGCATCTGTTACGTAATGGTTTACTGAATGTTAAGCCTACTTTTTAGATCCAATTTTCAGAAAAGCAAAGGTTCCTTTCAAAATATTACTGCTCACTGAGAATGCACATGATCACAAAAGAACTCTGGTGGAGATGTACAGAGAGATTAATATTGTCTTTACATATCTAAGGCAAGAAGCTGGGGCAAAAAATAATATAGAGAGTTTATAAAGGCCAAGGTTGAGGACAGTTACCTGGACATACTTTCAGGTTGCCTTGGAGAGTGCTCCATTTGTCTTTCCTTACAACCAGGTTTTTAAAGGCAAAAGAGGCCAGGCATGGCGAATCATGCCTGTAATCTCAGCACTTTGGAAGGTCAGCGTGAGGGGATTACTTGAGCCCAGATGTTTGAGACCAGCCTGGGTGTGATGAGACTCCATCTCTACAAAATTTTAAAAATTAGCTGGGTGTGGAGGTGCATGCCTGTAGTCCAAACTATTTGGGAGGCTGAGGCAGGAAGTTCATTTGAAACCAGGAGTCTGAGGCTATAGTGAGCCGCATTCATGCCACTCCAGACTGGGAAACAAGGCAAAACTCTGTCCCCCAAACAATAAATAAATAAAATATAACTAAAGGTAAAAGAAGAAATACTGAGTAGACTGATATAAATTTGTCAGGGATTCTCATTGGTTTACAGAAATAACATTGATTCATGATTGGCCATACATTGTTGAGCTGTAAAGAGTGGGTTACAGTATCTGGCATGTGGCATTCTTAGCTTAATTTGTAGCTACTTCGAGCATTAACAAGCAATTTCAAGAGATAAGCAGTTTCAATATGGGAAGTAGGACATGGTTGCTGTCTGCTTTTAATGCCTCTTTGGGCCTTAAAATGTAAAAGTCAAACATTCCTCAGATAAAAAGTATTTATACATTTTTTCATTCTCATTTTTATGCCTTCTAACATTCTGCAGCCCATGGCTCAAGGAGTAATTTCAACTTTCAAGTTCTGTTATTTAACAAATACATTTTTTTAAGGATGTAGCTGCCATAGATAGTGATTCCTCTGATGGGAAACTAAATTGAAAACCTTCTGGAACAGATTGACCATTCTAGATGACATTAAGGACATTCATGATTCATGGGAGGAGGTCAAAATATCAACGTAAACAAGAATTTGAAAGAAGTTGATTTCACCTCTCATGGATGACCTTGAGAGGTTCAAGATTTCAGTAGAAGAGGTAACGAAGATGTGGTGGAAATAGCAAAAGAGCTAGAATTAGAAGTGAAATGTGAATATGTGACTGAATTGCTTCAATCTCCTAATAAAGTTTTAATGGATGAGGAATTGCTTTTTGTGGATGACCAAAGAAAGTGGTTTCTTGAGATGGAATATACTCCTGGTGAAGATGCTAGAAACATTGTTGCAATGACAACACAAGATTTAGAATATAACATAAACTTAGTTGATAAGAGAGCAGTAGGGTTTAAGAGGATTGACCCCAATCTCAGAATATGGGTAAAATGCCATCAAACAGCATCACATGCTACTGAGAAATCTTTCATGAAAGAAAGAGTCAATTGAAGCAACAAATTTCATCGTTGTCGTATTGTCAGAAATTGCAACAGACACCCCAGCCTTCAGCAAATATCACCTTGATCAGTCAGCAACTGTCAACATAGAGGCAAGACCATCCACCACCAAAAAGATTATGACTTGGTGAAGGCGAAGATGAACATTAGCGTTTTTGGCAATGAAGTATTTTTAATTAAAGTATGTACATTGTTTTTGTACACATAATGCTATTGCAAACTTAATAGACTACAATGTAATGTCAACCTAACATATATGCATTGGAAAACCAAAAAATTTGTGTGATTTTCTTTATTACTATGTTAGTTGTATTGTGGTAGTCTGGAACCAAACCTGCAATACCTCTGAGATATGCCTGTTAGGGTTTTCCAAAGAAATGGAATCAATAATAAAGATATATATATATATACACACACACATATATATACACACACACACACAAGTGTATACATAGTATTATAGCCTATTAAGATATATAATATATATTATGTATTCTATTCTATAATTTAATTTACATACCCCATAATATTATGATATCATTTGTATATGTACTTATGTATAGTTGCACACATATAATTTATTATAAAGAGATGGATTACCCACATAATTCCTTAGTCTAAGAAATCCCCAGATATGCAGTCAGCAAATGGGAGCCCCAAGAGAATCAGTGGTGCAATTGCAGTCTGAATACAAAGACCTGAGGACAAGAGTGGATGGTGTAAGTTCCACTTAAGGGCAGAACACTGCTTTCCCAGATTAGAGAGTCAGGTAGGAAGAGTTCTCTCTTACCCTTTTTGTTCTATTCAGCTTTTCAACTGATGGCATAAGGTCCACCTACATTAGGGAGGACAATCTTCTACCAATTCAAATGTTAATCTCATCTAGAAACATCCTCATAACACAACTAGAATATTTGATGAAAAGTCAAGTTCACAGCAAAAATTAACCACCACAGGAATTTGAAATAAAATGTTTCCCTTACAATTTTGGTTGGGTAATTACAAACTTATTTTCACTACAGAAATGATAATTAGCTTTTCTCAGGTTCAATATCCTATTTCTCACATTGTCTATTTTTTTCCACAATTTAAGTTCAAAGTTCATTTAAATACTTTACTTTTTTATTATTTGGGAAATATTAATGCATATAACCCTTCTCTTTATATGTACAAATACTAAGTAACATCTTTTTTTTTTTTATTTTTTTTTTTATTTATTTATTTTTTTTTAGACAGCGTTTCACTCTTGTTGCCCAGGCTAGAGTACAATGGTGCAAACTTGGCTCAGCGCAACCTCTACCTCCCGGGTTCAAGGGATTCTCCTGCCTCAGCCTCCCAAGTAGCTGGGATTACAGGCCTGTGCCACCATGCCTAATTTTGTATTTTTGGTAGAGACAGGGTTTCTCCATTTTGATCAGGCTGGTCTTGAACTCCTGACCTCAGGTGATCCGTCCGCCTCAGCCTCTCAAAATGCTGGGATTACAAGCATGAGCCACCCGGCCACTAAGTAATACCTTAACTTTTTACAATATTTATTAAAAAAACCCCACGCAACCCAAATCAGTTATTCCAAATAGAAAAACAGATTATAAAATAGTTCTATAAAAGTGTCAATATATTTTCAACACCTAATTCTTTTTCTGACATTCCTTTTTATGTATATAATTATTTTTGATATGTTATAATTTTGTGGTGAAAAAACCTATCAGTCAGGATTTCAGAAGATATTATTCTATTCTTAGCACTCAAATGAATATTTGATTATGTGTAAGTAATCTGGTTTCAATTTGTATCCCCAGTCAAATCTCATGTCCAGTTGTAATGCTCAGTGTTGGAGGAGGGGCCTGGTGGGAGGTGATTGGATCATGGAGGTGAATTTCTCTGTATTGGTGTTTTCTTTATACTATCAGTCTAAATTACAAATTTTGATTCTTCCCTGAATGTTTACTACTAGATTTTCTCATGGCTGTTTTGATGGATTCCAAGATGCACTGCACAGGTCTTCCTTCCAGGATCAAGACACTTCTTCACCCAATTACTAAAAGTGTGCTTGCTGCTAACTACTGTCGAGAATCCTGAAAAGTGTGAAATTATACTCTATTTTCAAGCTAGCAAGTTAGCCTGCCACAATTTCATAATTGCTAATAGAAGGCATAAGATTCCTGGTTCAGACACAAAGGATACATTATTACTCATTGTAACAGCAGGAATCAAAATATCAACAGCAACTTTTAAAGTGTGACATAAAGCAGTACAGATAATGTATGTACATATATTGGGTTGCATCACATAAAAGGACTCAACAATTGAATCTTTTATAATAGGCATTAGCATGCTTGTTCTTGGCTCTAGCTGGAAGTATTCTCTTTACTATACTGGGCAGTAAGTATATTTGCTCTTTGCTCCAGAGGGAGATACAATCTCTATCTTCCAAGAATGTTTACTATAGTAACATCCTTGGAAAGATAGTCCAAAAAAAAAATAAAAATTAGTGTCTCACTCACAAGACTCACGGAAACATTGGAGACTTGTAGAAGTTTATCTTACACATTGAAGAAAATAGCGTCTCACTTAACCTTGCATTCCTAACCAGGGCAGACTGTGTCCAAAGGGCAATATATGTGGAATTCAAAGACCCATACCTGACTCTCTTACTGTAATCGAAACAACTCAGCAAAGCTCCCTGTAGAATTTTCTGAGGCCTCCATTTTTAGTGTATTCAGTTAAATTTTTGCCTCTGCCTAATCCTAATCCCCTCACTATCTTACATTTTTATTTTCTCAGAGAGAACTCCAGCCAATAACTTCCTGCATGTAAATCTCCATTTCAAACAGTTTATTGTCTAGAACAGCTCCTCAGTTTGCCGCCCATGTTTTATTCCAGCACACAGGTCTTGCTCCTGGAATTTTAATGGGATCTTTGGGGTATCAATTTTCTGGCCAGAAACTTCTGTGGCTACAGTGCCTTTGCACAGTTCTTGTCCTGCACCCAGGAAGAATGAAGTAAGCAGACAAGTGAAGGGAGAACAAGATGAAGATGAGGTTTATTGAGTGTTACAACAACTCAGAGAAGTCCCATAGTGCTTCTCTCTGTAGATCATCCATCAAGTATTCATTTCTCAGCAGAGAGGAGGCCCTGGAGAGAGTAGCTCCTCTTTGCAACTGGTTGTCCCAACCTCTCAGCGGAAAGGAGGCCCTGAGAGGGTGGCTTCTCTCTGCCAGCAGGTGGTCTTTGCAGCTCTCAGCAGAGAGGATAGCTCCTCTCTGCAACTGGTTGTTCCGTCATCTCCAGCTATTAGTAGAAGCAGTAGCTCCTCTCTGCAGCTGGTACTCCTGTCTTCTCTCTGCCTTCTTCATCCTCTGGCCATCCTCTGCTCTGCTCTGCCTAAGCCCAGCGTTTTATGAACCTCAAGGGGAGGAAGTGCACGTTGATTGGTCCATGGGCGGCCATGGGTGGGCCCAGAGCCCCCAGCCTTCAGGCTCTCCCTGACCTGAAGGTGAGGCTTCCTGGGAACCTGCCTACTTCCGCCCAGGAATCTGTTTTCCTCTAGCTGCCATTCATGGCCCCGGGGCTCAGCCTCTATCCTGCTTTGAGGTTGGAGCAGGTTCCTGGAGGGGAGAGAGGCCAGGCAGGGAGAGCAGACATCCTCAAGCCGGACTGGGGGCCTTCCCCGACCCTGAGAGTGAAGGCTGCAGAGACGCCCGGGTCCTGCACCTGGTAGGGCAGCCGCAGCTGCACCTGGGGTGCTCCTGCCCTGTCAGCTTGGAAGGGACGGGTGTCCAGTTTGTCCCTGGCTCCTTCCTGCTCCGTGGAGTGAGAGGCCCCCGTCTGCAGCTGCACCCTAGAGGCAATATCCTGCCTGCTCTTAGCCACCCTGAAGAGCACAGGGAGGCTCAGATCCACAGCAGCAGTTTGGGCCGGGCTCCTGCCTTCTCCTTAGAGCTGGAGGCCCAGGTCTGCAGACAGGAGAGGCAGCTGCAGCTGCACCTGGGAGGGCAGACCCTGCCTGCTCCTGGCGCCCTACCAAGAGCTTAGGGAGGCTCCCATCCACAGCCACAGTTTGGGCAACTGCAGCCCCACCCAGGAGGGTGGGGCTCCTGCCTGCTCCATAGAGTAGGACACCTGGGTCGGTATCCATGGTTTGGATGGCTGCAGAGGCATCTAGGGAGCTCCTGCCCCAACTTAGAAGCGGTGGGGCTTCCACTGGCTCCACGGAGTGTGCAGCCCCAACCCTGTCTCCCTGCAGCAGTCAGCGCGATGGCAGCAGCCACTGACATCAGAATCTTAGCTGGGAAAGTAGATGAGCACTCGGCTTGCCCAGAATGGATATTTGAACGTGAATTACCTTTGATGAGAAGCTGTTTCATCTCTTCTCAAGCCTGTAATTTAAAGTAAGTAGATTATTGTGGTTATTCCACCAACACCAATTCTTCCCTTTAACAAACATTTAATCTTCATAGTTGAGTATTTTTTGCACATGAATTATGAGATTCTGTAATTTAAGTGCATTTCAATTTTTAGAGAAAGAAGTTCAATAGATGTTTTATTACTCTGAGGATTTTTTTAAATTTTTTTTTTCAAAATATTGGTTATTTTAACTCTGAAGCATTTTTCTAGGAAAGTCATAATTATAGTTATGTAATAACCCTGATGCATAGATGATTAACTTCTGTGGAATTTACTTGTATACTTGAATAATCCATTTTCTAAGATTTTATTGCAAATAACTATTTAAATAATTATTAAAGATGCAGTACGTGTAGGTATATATGTATGGAATTTTGTGTAAAAATTTAATAATTTAATAATTAAATGCTTAAAAACGTTTAACTCAAGCTCATCTTAGTTGTAAACTGCTTCTGACTCTTCTTCAAACTTACAATGGTAAATAGGACATTTATAGTTTTAAGTTGATTTTGAGTGATGGAAAAGTTGTGCATATAAAAACTGAAGGTTTTATTTCAGTAGAGTAGCTACAGGAAAAGATATAATGAGATAAAGTGTAGAACTTTTCTAACTTTACACAATCAAATTTATAGCATGTCATGTTTATCAGGTAAGAGAATATTGTAATCACCATATTCCAGTGAAATCACACCCTGTTCTTCATCATTAGAGAAAAACCTAGGGAGTACAAAAAAGTTACTAGTAAGACTGTCTATATTTAATGACTTTACAGATAGTACTGGACACATTTCTAAGTTAAAAATGTTTTTGCTCATGTTGCAGAATATAACTGTGACCATGGTAATAGTCGCTTTAGAAAGTGATTTTAAAAAAGAAAGATAAAAGAGAAAGTAATCCTCCACCAAATAAAATTTAAATTAGGTGGAATCTTGCACTGATTGTTTAAAACATTTACAAATAAGAATACTTTCCTAAAATTAGACTTAACAGAATTTGAACATTTTGAAGTCAGTTTCATCAAATATGTGATAATTTTTACACTTGGTATTCAGAAGCATGTTATTGATTTAATCCATGTAAAGTTATCTGCAAATGTAGGAGAAGCTTTACTATGAAATGATTTTCAGATAAAATTCTTTCTCACATGGCTAAACTCCTAAAATTTTTGAGTAGAATTTTTTTAGTCATTTTACTTAACAGAAAATATTGTTTCATCCCCCAGAAAATTTCAAGTGATGTACTGAGGAGATGCCACAATAAGATAAAACTTTACTGTAACTTGATAAGTAAGGAACAGAGTATCCATTCACTTAAATTGCAGGATGACTTTACTTTCAGGTTATTGAAAATAATTGGGGAAAACTTTCTAAGCTAGCCAGTCATGAGTGGCGGCGTTCAGCTATTACATTCAAATTAGGCCTGCAGTTTATGCACCCTGATGGTCCACTGAATGGAGTTTTATTGCCATTGGTGGTTTCAAGGATAATAGATACCAGGTCAAACTTCCTCTAGTCAACTTGGTGATACCCCTAAGCTTATATTGTTTATTTTTTTCTTGAGTCTTTAGGAAGCATGGACATTTGTACATTGTGCAATATGAATGAATCAAAGACAATAAAATCCAGGAATAGTAACACAAAATATTTTAGAGAATTTCTTTGTGTCATTTAATAAAAAAATTTGCATGCATGTATAATAATGAAGAGTTAACCAAAATAATTGTATCTATTGGCTTTATTTTCATTTTTTGTTAAATACAAATCACTTAGTCTTTAATGTCTCAGTCCCCACTTCATTATGGCCCATCAACTACTCTTAGATTAACTCATTTCTCTTGTTTGGTATTATTCTACTGAAAAATTTATTTAAAAATCCTTAGCACTTTATGTTGCTATGTTATGTATTGAGTTATATTTTTGAAGCTTTATTTTAAGATACTTATGAGCGAAATTATATTTCCCAATTATTAGGTGTGATGTAAGTGCTGAGTATCATATGTGGAATATAACAGATGATCTGTTAATATTTGTTGGATTGTTTATTTATGTTTTGACTTAAATATGTATCCTGCATATCTTTGTTCGTTGTTTGACTATTTGACTTTTTTTGTAGCTCTTTTATATATATATGTATATATGTGTATATATGTACGTATGTGTATATATGTATATGTGTATATATGTGTATATATGTGTGTATATATGTATATATATGTGTATATATATGTATATATATATTTTTATTATACTTTAAGTTCTAGGGTACATGTGCACAACGTTCAGGTTTGTTACATATGTATACATGTGCCATGTAGGTGTGCTGCACTCATTAACTCGTCATTTAACATTAAGTATATCTCCTAATGCTATCCCTCACCCCTCCTCCCACCCCACAACAGGCCCCGGTGTGTGATGTTCCCCTTCCTGTGTCCAGGTGTTCTCATTATTCAATTCCCACGTATGAGTGAGAACATGCGGTGTTTGGTTTTTTGTCCTTGTGATAGTTTGCTGAGAATGATGGTTTCCAGCTTCATCCATGTCCCTACAAAGGACATGAACTCATCATATTTTATGGCTGCATAGTATTCCATGGTGTATATGTGCCACATTTTCTTAATCCAGTCTATCATGAGATACCATCTCACACCAGTTAGAATGGCAATCATTAAAAAGTCAGGAAACAACAGGTGCTGGAGAGGATGTGGAGAAATAGGAACCCTTTAACACTGTTGGTGGGACTGTAGACTAGTTCAACCATTGTGGAAGACAGTGTGGCAATTCCTCAGGGATCTAGAACTAGAAATACCATTAGACCCAGCCATCCCATTACTGGGTATGTATCCAAAGGATTATAAATCATGTTGCTATAAAGACACATGCACACGTATGTTTATTGTGGCACTATTCACAATAGCAAAGACTTGGAACCAACCCAAATGTCCAACAACGATAGACTGGATTTTGTTGCTCTTAATTTTCTTCTTATTCTCTCCCAGCTTAATAAAGTATAATAGACAAAATTATATATATTAATGATGTACATGATATTTTGACATATGTATACATTGTGAAATGATTATTAAAATTAAACTAATTAACATGTCAGCAATCTCATATAGCTGTCATTTTCTATATATCTTTCTAAAGTAGATAACCACTAAGATCTAAATAAGTTTCAAATTTACTACTGTGAGGTTAAAAATCTTATTTTAAAAGCTCAGTGAATTTAACATTTTTATAATATATAATTATTATAATAAAACTTTGAAAGTTTTGGTGTCATTTCAGAATATTAAGCACTAAAATGCTTACCTGACAAAAATATGTTTTAAAATAATAAATCAATGGATTTTTATGTATTTGAGTATATATGAAGTTAAATTAAAAATTATCCTACTGTTGGTGTCTCAATGATTTGTACTAAAATTAGAATTTAAGACAAATATGTTCCATGTGCAAAAAGGTGAAAAGTTAGCTATCAATGGTACCAATGTAATCTAAATCATAAAGTTACTTCAAATTAATTTATTTTTGGAAATTAACATTTCAAAAATAATATTTTTACCTTGTACCATGATGTATACAAAAGGAAGTACCTAATACCCCTAAAGTAAATACTTGAAGAGTTGTAAAGTGAAAATGTTACATGTTAAGTTAGGCAATGTACTCCTGTGATAAATACTGAACTATTTAAGAATATAATTATATAATGCAAGATATTACAACAGAACAGGAAAAAATCAGGATTTTTAAGTAAAAATAATATTCTGTTGAGAAAGAAATAGAAATACAGAAATTTTTTTTTCAAAATGTGAAGTTTTATCTTTTGTAAAAATTATCTCCTTCACAAGGAATAGAATGCTCATCTTGAGTTGGATTAATTTTTCTTTTTCCCATATACTCAGTAGTGGGATAGTTAGATTGAATGGTAGATCTACTTTTCATTCTTTAAGAAATCTCAGCTGAGCATGGTGGCTCAAGCCTGTAATCCAAGCATTTTGGGAGGCCAAGATTGATGTATTGCTTGAGCCCAGGAGTTCTAGACCAGCCTGGACAACATGGGAAACCACATCTCTAAAAATAAACAAACAAAAAAACAAACAAATTAGCTGGGTGTGGTGGCATGTGTCTCTAGCCCCAGCTACTTGGGAGACTGAGGCAGGAGGAATACTTGACCCCAGGAGGTCGAGGCTACAGTGAGCTGTAATCACCACTGCACTCCAGCCTGGGCAATGGAACAAGACTCTGTTTCAGAAAAAATAATTTTTAAAAAGTCTCTACAATGTTTTCCATACAGGTTGTACTAACTGACATTACCACCAGCAGTATACAAGCGATCTCATTTCACCACATCCATGCCAACAACTATTCTTTTTTGGCTTTTTGATAATGGTCATTCTTGCAAGAGTAAAATGATATCTTTTTGTGGTTTAAATTTGTATTTCCCCAGTGATTAGTGATGTTGAACATTTTTTCATATATTTGTTGGCCATTTGCATACCTTTTGAGAAGCGTCAGTTCATATCATTGACCACCTTTAGATAAGATTATTAATTGTTTTGCAATTTGTTTGAGTTTCTTGTAGATTCTAGATATTAGTTCTTTGTTAGATGCATAGTTTGTGAATATTTTCTCCCATTTTGTGGGCTGTATGTTTACTCAGATGATTGTTACTTTTACTATACTAGTTAAATTAGGTCCTATTTATTTATTTATTTTTCTATTTGTTGCATTTGCTTCTGGGTTCTTAGTCATGAATTCTTTGCCTAGCCCAGTATCCAGAAGAGTTTTCTTTGGTTATCTTCTAGAATTTTAACAGTTTCCTGTCTTAGATTTAAGTATTTGATCCATCTTGAGTTGATTTTTGTATACGGTTAGAGACAAGGATCTGGTTTAATTCTTCTACATGTGACTAGCCAATTTTCCCAGCATCGTTTATTAAATAGGGTGTCATTTCCCCAATTTATGTTTGTGTATGCTTTATCAAAGGTCAGTTGGTTTTAAGTATTTGGCTTTATTTCGGGGTTCTCTATTCTGTTCCATTTGTCTATGTCCCTGCTTTCATACCAGTACCATGCTGTTTGGATAACTATATCTTTCTACTGTAATTTGAAGTCAAGTAATGTGATGCCTCCAGATTTGTTCTTTTTTCAGAATTGCTTTGGCTATTCAGGCTCTCTTTTGTTTCTATACGAATTTTAGAATTGTTTTTGCTATTTGTGAAAAGTGATATTGGTATCTTGAAAGGAATTGCATTGAATCTGTAAATTGCTATGGGCAGTACAATCATTTTCATAATATTAATTTTTCCAATTAATGAGCATAAGATGTGTTTCCACTGGCTTGTGTCATCTGTGATTTCTTTCAGCAGTGTTTTGCAGTTCTCCTTGTAGACATCTTTAACCTCCTGGGTTAAGTATACTTCCAGGTTCTTTTTTGTTTTTTGTTTTTTTTTTTAACTCGCAGCTGTTGTAAAATGGATTGAGCTCTTAATTTGATTATCAGCCTGGTCACTGTTAGTGCATAGCCATGCTACTGATTTGTGCACATTGATTTTGTAATCTGAGGCTTTACTGAATTTGTTCATCAAATCTAGGGGTCTTCTGAAGGAATCTTTAGGGTTTTCTAGCTATAAAATCACATCATGGGTAAATAGTGATAATTTGACTTCCCATTTGGATGCTCATTATTTCTTTCTGTTGCCTGATTGCTGTGGATAGGATTTCCAGTACTATATTGACTATAAGTGGTGAAAGTGGGCATCCTTGTCTTGTTCCATTTCTCAAGGGGAATGCTTTGAACTTTTCCCCATTCAGTAATATGGGGAAAATTTGGCTTTGGGTTTGTCATATATGGCTTTTATTATTTTGAGGTAAGTCCTTTCTATTCCTAGTTTATTGAGTGTTTTTATCATAAATGGATGCAGGATTTTATTGAATGTTTTTCTGCATCTATTGAGGTGTTCCTGTGGATTTTGTTTTAAATTCTGTTTATGTGATATAACACATTTATTGATTTGCACATGTTAAGCCATCCCTGCTGTCCTTGGATAAAACCCACTTGATCATGATATATTACCTTTTTGAGCTGCTGCTGGAATTTTGTTGAGGAATTTTGCATCTATGTTCATCAGGCATATTGGTCTGTAGTTTTTTTGTTGTTATGATGTCGTTTCCTGGTTTTGGTATAAGGGTGATACTGGCTTTATAAATTGAGTTGGGAAGGATTCCCTTTTTCTGAATCTTCTCAAATAGTTTCAGTTAGGAGCAGCACAAATTCTTCTTTTAATCTCTGGTAGAATTCACCTCTGAATCCATCTGGCCCTAGGATTTTTGTTTTCCTTGGCAATTTTTAAATTACTGATTCAATCTCACTGCATGTTATTCATCTGTTCACAGTTTCTATTTATTTCTGACTTCATCCAGGAGGGTTGCATGTTTGCAGGAATTTATCCATTTCCCCTAGATTTTCTAGTTTGCATGCATAGAGGTGTTCATAGTAGTCTCAAATAATCTTTTGCATTTCTGTACCATAAACTGTAATGTCTCTAGTTTCATTTATAATTGAATTTATTTGAATCTTCTCTTCTTTTCTTGGTTAATCTAGCTAATTGTCTAACAATTTTGTCTGTCTTTTCAAAAAACCAAGTTTTGTTTCATTGCTTTTTCTACTTTTTTGTTTCAATTTATTTCTGCTCTTTGTTATTTATTTCCTTCTGCTAGCTTCAGGTTTAGTTTGTTCTTGTTTCTCAAGTTTCTTCAGGTGTGACATTAAGTTGTAAATTTGTGATAGCTTGTATCTCTATTGTTATTCATTTCAATGAATTTTTAAATTTTGATCCTGAATTTATCATTAACCCAAAAATCATTCAGGAGCAAGTGGCTTAATTTCCATGTATTTCTATAGGTTTGAGGGTTCCTTTTGTAGTTTATTCTCGTTTCATTCCACTGTGGTCTGAGAAGATACTTGATATGATTTTGATAATTTTAAATTTATTGAGACTTGTATTGTGGCCTTTCGTATGGTCTATCTTGGAGAATGTTCCATTTGCTGATGAGAAGGATGTATATTCTGTAGTTCTTGGGTAGAATGTTCTGAAAATACCTGTTAGGTCCATTTGTTCTAGATTATAGTTCTGGTTTCCATTTACCTGGCATATCTTTCTCCACCCCTTTATTTTGAGTTTATATAAATCCTAGCATGTTAGGTGAGTCTCTTGAAGATAGCAGATATTTGGCTCGTGATTTTTTTTTTAATCCATTCTGCCAATCTGTATCTTTTAACTGGAGCATTTAGGCCATTCATATTCAGCATTAATACTGAGATTTAGGAACTGTTCCAGTCATTATGTTAGTTATTACCCAGATACTTTGATTTCTTCACTGTGTTTTTATTTTTTAGGCCCTGTGAGTTTTATGCCTTCAAGAGAGTCTATATTGGTGAATACTCTTTACTTCAGGATTTAGAACTCTCTTTAGCATTTCCTGTAGGGCTGTTCTAGTAGTAATAAATTCCCTCAGCATTTGTTTGTTAAAAATGACTCTATTTTTCCTTCATGTCTTATTGGCTAAGAGTTATTCTGTTTATGGAGGCTAAAGATAGGAACCTAGCCTCTTCTGACTTGCAGGGTTTTTTGGTAACAAGTCTGCTGTTAGTCTGATAGGTTTTCCTTTATAGATTACCTGGTGCTTTTGTCTCACTCTTCTCAGTATTCTTTTTTTCTCATTGACTTTGGATACACTGATGACTATAATCCTTGCTAAAGTATTTTTTTATGATTAATCTCCCGGGAGTACTTTGAGCTTCTTATATTTGTATATGTAAATGTCTAGCAAGGCCAGAGAAGTTTTCCTTAATTATTCCCTCAAATAAGTTTTCAAAACTTTTTGCTTTTTCTTCTCCCTCAGGAACATCAATTATTCTTAGGTTTGGCCACTTTACATAATCCTTTATTTCTTGGAGACTTTGTTTGTTTCTTTTTATTCTTTATTTTTGTCTAATTGGGTTGATTCAAAAGCTTTGTCTTTGAGCTCAGAAATTCTTTCTTTTACTTTTTCTACTCTATTGTTAAAACTTTTCATGGCATTTTGTAATTTCCTAAATATGTCTTTCATTTAAGAAGTTCTTAGTGGCTTTTCTTTAAATATTTATGTCTTACAAAAATTTTTTCATTCATATCCAGAATTGTTTTTTAAATTTATTTATTTGGTTTTCACCTTTCTCTGGTATCTCATTTGGTAGCTTAATAGTCAACATTTTGAATTTTTATCTGGTATTTCGAATGTTTTATCTTGATTTGAATCCATTGCTGGAGGATTAATCTGATCTTTTGGGGGTGTTATAGAATCTTGTTTTGTCATATTATGAAAATTATTTTTCTAATTTCTTCTCGTTTGGTAGACTATTTCTTCTAATTATTATTGAATTTATTTTTTATTTGACTTCTTTTTAAAAATTTCTTCTTCCCCCCATTAAATATGTGACTTTAATGTTTATAGTTTATGGTAGCCTAATTCAGCTCTTGGTGCTTTCAAGGATGAAGTCTTCATATGAGGTCATTGGTTATAGAGAGTCATTGTATGATGACTTTCTCAGATACTGGTTGTAGTAGCAATGTGCTTGGTGTGTCAGAGAGTTTACTATCTCCTATGGGGTTGGAATGGCAGAGGTCTACTGAAGCTTACCTCATTCTCCCATGTTGGGCAATTTATTTATTTATTTATTTATTTATTTAGTCTTTTATTGACTGAGTTGAATATTTCAGACTTCAGGCCCGCAGGGACAATGTCCTGGGGTAGAAACCAGTTATGGCTAAAATAGGTAGGTAAATGCAATACCCATTGGTGGGCAGAGGCCACAGCCTTGACAAAGCAGAGGTTGCTGGAAGCTTTCAGTGAAACACACTGAGGTCTTATCAGGGGAAGAGTAAAAGCCACCTCTGCTCCTCTGTCAGGCTAGCAGAAAGATGATTTACCTCCCAGATGGCATTCTTGTCACAGTGTTCTGGCTATTCAGATCACAGAGACACTTTTTTTTCTTTTTTCACCTGCAGGAATGTTGATCTTCCAAGTAGACAGGAATTATGTTTACCCTGAAGTATTTCAGAAAGGCTGTCTATAGGTGCACCCACACTGAGCTTCCATGGGAGAGGCCCCAGCTGTTTTTGCAGTGGTGGATGAGGGGGAAAGGAATACCCTTCTCCAAGACCCTTGATGAGCACCACGTCTGCCTCTCTGTTGAGATAAAGCTGCAGACTTTATTTATTTATTTAATCCAGCACTGCAACTGTGCCTCTGCTGAAAGAAACTTCCCACCAGTGGGATGTTCCCTTGATGTGGTACACTCCCTCTTCCCCTGGAAGTACTAGTTCCTGAAAACCAGACTACTGTGAATGCTGTTGCTCCTCTGGGTTCAGCTGCAGGCTGATGCTGGGGAATGTCTGTAAGGGAGCCAGTAATGTGACTTGTCCTCAAGGCTCCCAGAAGTATGTACCATCTCCTGCTCTGATGGGGGTGGCAAAAGAGTAACACTGACTATGTGAGATAGTGTTATAAATAGCCTTAGCATGTTAGGGTTCTCAAATTTCCAGTTGCAGTAGTAATGAATTGGTCATGTGGACAGACTTAGGACCTCCTGGTTAGCCAGGATGGTGCAGGCAATGGTCGCACATAAGTTTTCTCCCTTCTAGGCACACTGTTATACTACTTGTAGATTCCACAATGGACTCTTGTCAGTTGGCCCACAGCCAGGAGGTGGCACTTGCAAAAGAGTGCCAGCTGCAGTAGTAGTGGTGGGATTTGTGTTTGCCTTATGTTACCCAGGGTAGTTACTGTTTTCTCAGACAATGGGCCATGCCACAGTGTTTTCAAAATTTCTGTCCATTGTGTTAAGCTACCAGCATGCGTGAAAGCGAAAAGCCAGGTGGGGTTGGGTCAGGCAGGTCCAAAGTCTGTCTTTCCACAAGCAGGACAAACAGAGGCTCCTGTAGGAGTCACAGGGTGTTTCTCTGGCCACTGTGATAATGTTCCAGGGAGGACTGTAGCTGCCTCCGCTGCACAGAAGAATTCATGCAGGGAGTGGGGAGTAGCAGGTGACAGTAAGTAAGCCTCACCCAACTTTCATAGACTTGGCAAAGCAGGTCTCTCATCTGGAGTGTTCACTAGCAAGAGTTAGCTAAATTCCAGGCAGTCTACAGTCAGAACCCAAAACTGCCCCAGGCCATAAGCATTTCTCATGGTGACAGGAACCCCAGCTTTTAGGCTGTGACCCTCCTTGCTTACCCACACAGTGAGGTGTACAGCTCCTCTGCTCATGGCTGCAGCACACTTGCCACATGCTCCCCAGGTCTGGACAAGGGAGTTCATCCTCACTTGAGATTACATTGTGCATTTTAGTTGTGAGCTTTTCTCAATGTTCAACCACTGCCTGAGTTTCTAACAGCCTTCCACAAGGTTCCCTGGGACGCAGACCAGGAATGGCTTCCCTCAGTCCATGCTGGAGACTGGTGATGCATGCAGTGCTCCTCCTGCTGTTGTCCCTAGTTTTATATTCCCCACTACTCCCTATTTCAGCATTGAGTTCCAACATTGAGAAGGGTTAAGGCCTTCCCCTGTGGGCTGGATTCCCAGGCTCTCCCATGGGGGCTCATATCCTGGAGGCAGTCTCTCCCCTTCTTGCACTCTGGAGACTTACAGTTTTTCTCCTGGCTCACAGTGTAGGATGCAGCCTGTCATTTCTTTCAAAGGTTCTGTGATTTCTTTCAGTTTTCCTATTAAGTTCCTGCATTGCTTCTTGGAAAAAAAGTTTACAGTATGAATCTCTACTCACTATTTTGTCTTTCCAAGTGGGAGAGACATGCTAACACTGCCTCCAACACCATCTTAGAAAAAAGAAGACTGATATTAAAAATTGTAATTGTATAAGTTTGCAGTCTACTAATACAAAACATAATAATAAAGTTTAATTCAGCAATTTTAAATTTTTCTGTATGTTGACACTTTTTTTTACACATGTGAATGAGAAAGATATATTGTTTTGCAGTTAATGGATTTAGATAATTACAACCCAGTGGAATAAAATTTTAGTTATCTTTAACTAGACTTACACAATTTTAATTATTTTTCTCTCTATATTATAGTTCTGTTTTTTCATGTTCCATATTGAGGTAGAGATAAATTTTTTTATCTGTAAAACGGTTTATTGTTTATGACATTTCTTCCTTTTTCCTTTTAAATTCTCTGTTACAACAGGGCAAGTGTATTTTTAAAATGGCATTTCTCAGATCCTCTGAAGCTAAAAGTAACCTAAGTGAGGTATTGGTAATGAGAAGCACTTGCACGAATTATAAAAAGTAGAGGTGATAAGAGGGCTTCTTCCCATGGCCGCGAAGAGTGGCAAGCAAGCTCCGAGGATATAGTTTTTTTGTGGTTGTCAGACTTCACATTCCAGGACTTGGTTCAGATTCATGGCTTTTAGGCAGCTGCAGTGAGAGAAATGGTAGTAGTAGTAATGACAGGGGCTTTCTGACCTTTGAATTTAGGTATGGTAGATTTATCTTGAAACTTATAATAGTCACACATTAGCCCACAGATTTCAACTCCTTCTATCCTATTAATCATGTTGTAGAAATCTTACTATCTACATTAAATAATTAAGACTGATTTCTGTTTATTTTAGGATCCTGGGCTGTTGGAAACATCAAGTATGGCATCAATTTCTTCATTTATACCTAAGATATAGCCTCCTGATGAAAGAATAAAACTTTCAATTAACTGGCAGAATTGAATTTAAACTTTTTTCAACCAATATTTATTTCCACTTTATGTTGAAATAATTAATTCTTAGTACTGTAATCAATTTATCTGTCCTGAGGAAGACTCTCAAACGAATATTGCATTGGGAAACTTGATTATGTAATTAGTATTGTAAAGAATACTAAAGCTAAAATATCAAATCTTTTTTTACTGATTATATATTCAGTTAAGTATCACTAAAACGTATCTCTCCCTCTCTAGGCTTCAAGTTCTTCATATGCAAACATGATACTTAATAGTTATTACTCATAGTCATAGTTAATTCTAGGATTCCATACACTGACTACCTTCTAGCTGGGAAATATAAGGCTAGACCAGCTTAAAGTCAAAGAGATTACACATTCATCTAACAGTTGAACAATGAAAGGAGACATTTCTCTTATGTTTATTTTACGTCTACCAAGCACTGCCCCTGAACCATTACAATGTAGATGAACTATCATAAAATTTGTTATAGAACACTGCTGTATCATAATCAAATGATGAAATCAGCATTAATTAAACAATGGCTTTAAAGATGTTTAACAACTGAAAACATTATATAATGATAATGGCATTCTGATAAGGACAAAATCAAAATATGTAAAATTGATGAAAAAAAGAAATATTCAGAAGATTAGATTGTTAGTGGTATACTATGAAAAAGGAGGGTTAACATTTAGAAGATTTACTGAGTACAGATTGAAAATTACTGGCTTAATTAAGAAATCATACACATAGCCATCTATAGGTCTGGATTACAGTGTAAGCTGTAGCATTTAATTGGCTGTTTAACTTTGGGAATATTAGCCCTTCTGAATCTAAATTTCTTCATGTAAAAAGTAATACTGTTAAAATGATCTTGAAGGTGTTTAGTGAAGTCACATTTTAAAAAGTATATTGGCATATTCTACAACCAATAAAGTAAAATTAAAATGATGTGATTTTATGTACATTGTGATAGATTATTTAAGACTACTCAACTAGGCTTTACTGTTATCACAATTTCTATTCTGAGGTCTTTTCTAAATAGTATCCTCTCATTTTTACCAGTTTGTCTATAACTATTAATGCCATAGTTGTATTGCATTTAGTTGCATTAGTATGGGAGAGGTTAAAAATAGCTATGGTCTTAACCTGCCACATTGGAATTGGAAAGAAAAGGGCAAAGAAATCTTAACCTCAGAATTATGTAGGAGTAGGCAATAGCTGAGAAAAGAGCAAATATGCAAAGAGAAGGTCCAGAAATGCTTGCTGTTAGGAGACAGAGAGAATAGAATTAAAAATGTGGTTAAAATCAGTGGAAAATGAAAGGAATTGTGTTAATTTTTGATTGTTGCATGACAAATTGCCATAAAATTAGTGGCTTAAAACAACACATATTTATTGTCTCACAGTTACTTCAGGTCAAGAGTTGGGTATGGATTAGCTTAGTTCTTTGCTTTAGCATCACTTCAGGCTGTAGTAAATTTGTCAGGCAGGCTGCATTCTCATCTATGGGCTTGACAGAAGGAGAATCCACTTCCACATTCATTCATATTGCTAAAAAAAAATTCAGTGTTTTGTTGGCTGTTGGTCAGAAGTGGTCCTTATTGTCTGGAGACAGCCTACATTCCTGACACACAGTGTCCACCATAAGCAGTTCACAGCACAGCAGCTTGTTTCTCCAGGACTAGCGGGGAAGCAAGAAAGACTCAAGAAAGTCTGCGTAAAATTTAATTTACCTTAACCTTCATATTGTTATATAACATATTTTAATTTTGTTATGTCATGAGTTATTTTTTCCAAATATGGCCAGGTATAATAAAGTAAATAACCAATAAAATTGTACCTATATGTTCATTGAATTTGTAGCCATATATCAATATTTTAATTATTTTATCCAAAAAATGAATATATTATTTATGTATACTTAAACTAGTTAATACTTATGAAATAAGTCATTAAATGTTTTACAGTGTTACTTTATATGTGTTATTCATTTAATTCTCACTGCAACACTATGATTTAAGATTGTTGTTTATTTGAACCCATAAATAAACTTACGCTCAAGATGCTAAAATCAACATACGTCAAACCAAAGCTGGTGGTGAGTGAAAGATGATGGCTTTAATCCCACATGTTTTTTTCCATGGCTTATTTTTGTAACCAATGTGTGACACTCTTCAACTAGCTCTACGAGTAATTTAAACAATTTACAATCCTCTTTATAAAATTGATTTATTTAATAAATATGCAAAAAGACCCTCCCTACCAACTCTTAGAATTTATCTTGAATTCAGTTTGCATCAAAAACAGAAATGGCATCAAAACACCACTCTAAATTCTACTCTAACACATCACACATCACCTATCAGGATATATCTACTATTATTCTTGACACCACAATGAAAAGCAGAAACTCCAAGCTTGGGACATGTATTTTGTTCATAGAACCACTAGCATTATGTGCCTTTTCTTAGTACACAACACTCTATCAACTCTATTAATCATCTCCAGTGGCTAGGCTTTGCTATTCAATTTTGTAAATAAAACTGGAATCAGCTAAAAAAATATAGAAACAAAATAAAGGTGATGAAAAACTTTTTGAACACCAGAAACTCAAGTACTGTGCATAAATGCTACAGTATTGTGCCTAAAATCTAGGTTACCTTATCTGTACCCTTAATGCTACAATTTCTTGAAAATCTGGCCTTTTAATTTTCTTTTACTAAAAGTTTGCTCTCTTTGATGTTAGACTTCCATCCATGATCTTTGTCTTACCCCATGAAAGGTAACTTCAATAGTAAAATAAAAATTTGATATTGTTATTATTTTTGCCCTTTGTTGAAAATTTGGGGGAAGATAAATTTCTGATAATGATATTTCATAAAAACTGGTATATAGCTCTAAATTTATGAGTGAAAAAAGAGAGTGATGCGAGTAGAAGAGAAATGCTAGTATAAAAGTTAATATAAGAGTCTTTGGGGGCAGTTTTAACTATCTTAATTCATGAGCAATTATTCATAAATATTGCTCCCATTATCACAGAAAAGAGAAAAAATTCTCTCCTTTTCTTCTGTGCTTGAATATAGTCTCTGGTGGAATGAAGCTATACAGATATGCTTGTGAAAATTTACTTTGTGTCTTTTTATTTACAGAATGAAAAAAAAAAACATTTACTAGTCAAATCATTACTCCATTTATCCTAATAAGAATGCCACATGTTCTTTGAAAAATAATCAACTATAATGTTTAAATTTGATGCTAATTATTAAAAATATAACAGGCCTATTGGCCAATAGAAACTACAGAACAAAATCTTAAAGCAAAAACTAATATTTTTCTTTCCTCACATATCACCTCATTATGCATATGAAATCTGTACTAATAATTGTAATTGATAAAAGTTATTTTTGAATGTGCACTATATTTCAAAAACTTTATAAAGTGCTTTATACTCTCTCTTGCTACAAATATATCAAAATAAATATGTGAAACTCAATTTTATCAATTTTTGTTGTTCATTGCTTGTATGTTAGTTTCAATGGAGTTTCATATGGGATATTTTCTTACCTTATTCAAATCTTTTGTGTAATTAAATATCACAGATGTTTTTGTAGTATGCATACATATATAAAATCTAAATTGTTAATTGTGCAGTTATTTATAATATATAAACTATTTATAACTTATACTTGATTATAGTCCTTTTTATAATAAGGGAAATATTGCAACTTTTTAACACTGCTTGTGTTTAAACATAAAAATTTTTCTGTCTCATTCTAGTAATATTCCTAACCAAGCTACAAATGTTGAGGAAGATAGAAATTGTCTAAGAAATATACTGATCACTTTAAAAACATGTTCAGATACATCTTCTTGCCATCCTAATAAATATAGAAGCTTGCCCAATGTGATTGGGGTTTAATGATTGCCGGGTGAGAAGCTTTGTGAAGTACAAACCAGCTTGCAGGTCACTAGTGGCAGCTAGAGTATGGATCTAAAAAAACAAATACAACAACCAAGAACTGTGAGTTATGTATTTATGTATGTATGTGTATGTATATTATCTGTGTGTATGTGTGTATGTACACACACATATAGGTATACTGTGGATGTATATACATACATGCATTTACTTGACAAATTCAAAAGAAGGGATTAACAAGAAATTGTGATACTACATTTGAAAACTAAATGTGAACTTTAAGTCCATATGCATTACTTTCAATATTCATACTACAAGAAATGTAAATTAGAAATCATTTAACACGTAGGAATTGATCGATTATAATAGACACATAGGTTTTATAAAAGCTAGCATTGTCAGTATATAAACTATTTCTCTGAATCAAAGTACTTTTTAAGTATGTTATCATTAAAATAGAACAGGAGAAATTATCTGGTTCAAAATGTTTTTGTTCAGAAAACGTGCCATTGATAGATAAACCAATATGTTAAAAACAAAACAACTTAAAAATGAGGGATTAATAGTTAAACTCTTTTTCTTCCTATAAAAAATTCTCCATTGTGAAAAACTGGGAATATCATACATTAAAAAAATTATGTTACTTCTCAAATAAGATTTGACTTGTTATTTAATTATACCTTCACTAATACGTAAGAAAAACAAATAATATGTTAGTAAAAAGGTGAAATTTGAAAAATTATATTTATACTAAATTTTATGAACTGGAAAATATTAACTTTAATAATTTGATGGGACATACTATGTTTTACTTAGTCTTAATTCATTGAGCTAATTTTTGAAGAAACTTGCATCTTTAATTTTCATGATGCTATTTACATCAACGAAATGAGTAAGTGTTTAATGAAAAGAAAGGTCAGTGTTAAGTAATAATTATCTAATTTGTAGAATAAGAACACTTGATTGTTGTTTTCTGCAAATAGTGTTGAATGAAAATAGCACTTTAATGAACAGAACTGCATATACAACGCTAGAATCATGTAAAAGGAATTTCCAGTAATATAAAATTATAGTATTTCACAACGGAAAATGGCATAGACTGCATATGGAGAGAGTAATCATAATTCATAAAATCTGGTCAATATTACGTGTTTAAATTTTATGACAAAATACTGTGTAAATAAAATATTCAATCCATACATTGTATCTCAGATTCTTTCAACATAACATTTTTGAGAATTCCATATCTGAAAATAAAATGAAGAAAAACTCATACCAAAATAAAAACAATGTAAATGGTTTGAAAATATTAAATTATCCAAGACATAAAAAATAGTCTCTTCAAGTTTTTTGTTCATAAATCAGCTGCATTGTAACTTATTGAATATATGTATAACATATTCAACAATGTTTTCATAAATTATTGTTAAAATTTGTCCAAAAACTATTGCAGTATGAATACAAGCTTCCAATATATTTTTCAAACATTTGACAAAATAGGTAAAGATAAATATAAATGAAGGGCAAAATAACACACATACATCAGCCCTAAAATTATGGGAGGGAGCCAAAGTCACGGCAGCAACTTGGAAAAACTTGTAAGATTGAAGCATCCAGAAATAAGTGCCTTCTAGAGAAAGAAAGTTAAAAGGCATCCTGGCAAAACCAGAAAACTCATTAATCTGGAGGGACAAAAGTTAGAAGGTAAGTTGGCCCTTGTAAGACAAAGAAACCCAATGAAGATAAGTAATTTTAGTGTCAATGGATGAAACTTATTTCTGGTGACAGAATAGGAATAGGAGCTTAGGTAGAAACACCAAAAGGTAAGCCCAGATATGGTAGAGTGTTCCTTTGATTTAAAATCTTACATAAATGAAGATTTTATAGCAATGCATTTTCTAAGTGGACGACATGCATATTTGTAAAATAAGTTACACAATTCATCCCCTAAAGTAGAATTAACCTGTAGATTAAAAAATATATAAATATATGTAGGTTTCTAATTTATTGTGTGGAGATTTTTATTTAACATTTTACACAGCAGTACATTCTCATTTTACCTGAAGTCTTGTTGATCACTTTAAAAATTTTAAATATTTCAAATCCAAATATTCCAATAAAAATATAGAGATAGACATGGAAATTATAGTTTAATTTCTCTAATGAATATACCATGCATTATATATCTGTTATTTAAATTCAACAGTATATTGAAAGAATAACTTTATATGTCCTTTTTCTATTGGCTTAGAACAACAACAGCAACAACCCTGATTGTTGTATGCATGATAAATCAAGGCCTGGGATGCTTGGACAACCTATTCACAAAATCCTTCTCTCTTCCTTGTATTTATTCATCTCTTGCTCAATTTCATAATTCCCCACTTGTTTCTTCCCAAACCACACACACACACACACACACACACACAGAGCCTTATTGCCCCTAAAAAACAGATATTCTTAAATCTATTCCCTGCTGAAAATACCAATAACGTTTCTCCCTAAATGCACAGTCCAGGACATTTTAAAAATGAAAACTGCTTTTGCCAAATTCTACAGAAGTTCATACCTTCTTCTGAAAAACTAGAGGGGGCTGGTAAAGTAATTTTCTGAATAAGAATAACAAATGCCCTTCTTGGAAAGTCAAAATACATAAAAGTATAAAAGATTCTGGCAATAACTGGTTGGGGATGGGGAAACTTAAATAATAAAGATCCCAAAACTTTTCCAATATTATAAGTTTAACATGGGTATTGTATTAGAATTCTCCACATTCACAGAACCAATAG
The DNA here is from genome assembly GCF_000001405.40 of Homo sapiens. NCBI lineage: Eukaryota > Metazoa > Chordata > Mammalia > Primates > Hominidae > Homo > Homo sapiens. The sequence goes on along the minus strand of NC_000003.12, from coordinate 83,384,948 downwards.
GATATAAATACGGATATAGATGTGGATATATCCATATATATACATAAATTATATATATTAGGGAAATCGGCTCACGTAAACTGAGAATTTCCATGACTGGCCATCAGCAAGCAGGAGACCCAGGGATGCTGCTAGTGTCCAGCAGTTCATTTTTGAAAGCCTCAGGGAAGTTGGTGGTGTAACTCTCAGTCTGATACTGAAGGCCTAGGAATCTGGAGGACCATTGATATAAGTCCTGAAGCCCAGAGGATAGACAACCTGGAGTTGTGAAGTTTCCACTTTATTAGTCAATTTCCACACTGCTACCAAAGACATATCCCAGACTGGGTTGTTTATAAAGGAAAAAAGTTTAATTGACTCACATTTCCACAGGGCTGGAGAGGCCTCAGGAAACATTCATGGCAGAAAGGGAAGCAAACACGTCCTTCTTCACCTGGCGGCAGCAAGGAGAAATGCTGAGCAAAAGAGGGAAAAGCCCCTCATAAAACCGTCAGGTCTCGTGAGAACTCACTATCACGAGAACAGCATGGAGGTAACCACCCCCGTGATTCAATTACCTCCCATCAGGTCCTTCCCACGATATGTGGGGATTATGGGAATTCAAGATGATATTTGGGTGGGGACGCAGCCAATCTATATTGCCCAGTTTGAGGAGAAAGAGGATCACCTTTCCTTTGCCTTATTTGTTGTATCTGGACTCAGCCAATTGGATGTTGCCACGCCACATTGAGGGCAGACCCTCCCCACTTAGTTCACCACTGTCCTCTGGAAACAACCTCACAGATACAGCCAGAAATAATACTTTACAAGTTTTCTAGGTATCCTTAATCCAATCAAGTTGACACCTAAAATTGGCCTTCACAGATCTGTAACTCAGAGACAACAGAAATAAAGAGATGCTTGCTAAAGTCTCTGGGGAAAAAGAACAATGTGAAAATATGGGTGAGTTTTAAGTTTCCAGCTATGGAAGCCTAAAACTGTTTTTCTCTGTCCTGTCATTTCTCTACAACTTTATTATTCTTTGTTAAAGTAGTTATACAAGTTGGGGTTCTAAGCCATCTTTTTTAGTTACTGTTCATTGAGATTTCTCCTGCATGGGGCATATTTTTCTCTTGTTAATCTTTTTGTTAAAAAGCCCCAGCTGAGAATTTAAAATGAATATAGGTAAAGTTCTGCCTCCCTTAAATTTAAACTTTAGATAACAGGATTACTCTGAAGATGTAGTTTTAATAAGTTCTAGTTATATCTATTTTAGCTTGCATTTAATTCCAAAAGACGCAAAAATAATGGGAAATAAAGAAGGATAAAATTATTTAACTTCTGTACATTTTTATATGTGAAGCAAAGAAAATTTTCGGAAGATTTGTTTATTATTATGCTTGAAATGTTAACAAAGTAGCAATGCATGAAACTTTATCCTAGACTTTTGCGATGTGCTTTCTTTTAGATTATTCTCATATTTGTTAAATTTTATATTTGTAAGAAACAGATTATTTCTGCTTATTTGAAAATAGTATCACAGGATTACAAGTACCTAGATAGACCATTATCTGTAATAATACAATCCCAACAGATTACCTAAAATGGGATAGAGTTGTATCAAACTTTTCTCTACGTTAGCCTTCCTTCCACTTTCAATAAGAGCCGTTGACAATTGTTCTCAATAGTTTATAACATGCTTGGCAAACTAATTATGCCCCCATCTGCAACCTGATTAGTTCCTCTAAATTCTTCTACTTGCATTGTTAAATTCAAATTCACACCTTACCTCAAATAATTTTTTTTCTAGAGTTGTGCATTAGTCAAAGCAAATTCTGGAGATGTTTATACATGCCAAGGGTGTTCCAAGAATAATTATATGGGGGCATAGGAAGAACGGCTTTTACTAATATTATATTCTCACTGTCAGTTGAGAGGAAATAGAGTCATTATGTGAGTATAAACTAATTAATATAATATTTTATTTAAAAAAGAAAGAAAACTAATATTGCCATAAATTGGCAGATTGTTTACATAATTTTCTATAGTGCATAAATTCAGCCGATAGAAAACTAACAAAGAACAAGCAAAACACTACTTAGAGGAATTACTATATTTTTATAATTTTAAGATGCCACAGACCAGAGGATTATTATTAATCTTATAATAACTTTTTGTTATCTCTATTAAAATGGTGTATGGGGGGGTTACACTCTCACAATAAATCACTAAATAAACACATTGATTGTACAATGTCTTCTAATTATTCAAAGATCGATAGGTGAAAAAAAAAACAGTCCATCAAAGGCAATGTGTTGCCATAAACTAAAGGTAAGGGCACAGCATAATAATTTTTAAAAATCCATCTCTCATTGAAAAATACTGAAGTAGATATTTCTATAAATTTGATAATATATTAAATATGAATTGATCATAAAGATACATCAATAATAACCATATTTCCCTTTAGTAAATACTATTGGTTATATTTTTCACCATTAATTATTGTTATTAGCATTAATCAGCACTAAATACTATTCCAAATGTGGTCTAGACAGTAATAACAGCAAGATGTAAATTATAAAGCTAGATTTTTAATTTTAGAGAGTTTGATATGTGTACATAAGGAAGTCATTTTTATTTTCTAATTCTTATCTTCCTGATTTTCAAATCTGGTCTGATGTTGTCTATGCAATGTATGTATCTGGGTTTGTTGTTAATTTTAAATAATAAATGGCATGCATGCTTTACAATGTATGATTTTTTATCCAAACAATGTTTTATGATATCAACATCCACACATTCTAGAAAACATAATAGTACATACTTCATCACGTTATTGAAACATAAAAAGGAGGCAGTACCATTTTCTAGCACATTGCAAAATTTCTATTACAGTAGCTCATATAGTAAGTACTCTAAAACATGTAAGCTTGCACTATTGTTGTGATTTTCAATGCTGAACACCTTCATGTACTGGACTGCTGATCTGTAAATACATTTCTAAATACAAATAGTATTTTATTAATGCTTTCATAAAAATTGTTTACAGTGCTGTAATATTTACATTACGTATTTTTAAGTTATGCCTATTATGTCCCTGTGCCACTCACTTTGCAAATAAATAAAAATTATGAAATTATCAAGTAATGTATGAGTAATATTGTTTATTTAATATTTTTGTAAACTTGGCATACTTTTGGAGCTTCAAATGAATAACTTTTCAAATTTTAACCCAAATATTTTTAAGTTCCAGGCTGCTGGAGGACATATTTTTGTAAATGCTACATTCTAAATTGCAATTAATTTTTCTACCCCTTTGAGCACATTTAAGTCTGAATTTGTTACTTGAACTAAACTGAATAATTCAAATATTAAATGAAACTGTGTAACCTCAACTAATTGAAAAGCAAGTGGGCTGATTACTGAATATGAAGACAGATTTAAAAATGTAGAGTTATGTACTAAACCCCTATTTATTTAAAAATATCCTTAAAAATTAATTCTTATGAGTCTAAAATAAAAGGCAAATTCTTACCTTTGGGGTAAGGGTGTGTGTGTGCTTTGTGTGTGTGTGTTTTAAACAAAACTGGAATATTACATCAGGTTTTCGTGTTGATATGTACTATTTGTATAGATTCCCAATATATTCTACCTTCCTTGATCAAAATGTGTAAGTTTCATTCTTGATAAGCATCATTGATTAAAATATGATTCTAATAGTTTAGTTGAATTTGATTAAGTGAGGATTTTTACATTGGGAAGATCTTTACTGAATTAATAAATATATGTGGAGGAACAAATATCATGTCAGAAAAACATCCATGTTGCTTTGTTTTTTAATTACAGTGGCATTAGAATGGTGTGCTTAAATATAAACATGTCGGAAAAATTTCGGTGGAAAGTAGATAAATATAGTTAGACACAAAACATTTTAAAGTTTCAGTTGTATAAAAATGTTAAAGAACACAAAAATTTCACCCACTAATGTTTTAAATAAGCAAAGCAACACATGTTATTTATAGTTGGAATAAAAAACAACAGAATTTGATTCTCACAATGACATTTCATAATGATATAAAGTTTTTAGACTTATTCCTTTAATTTACTATATGGCCCAATAAATCTTGCTTCTCGATAAAAGAAGTTCTTACCTTCCATTTTTTGAGATGCCTTTAACTAGAAATGTATTACCTTAGCCAGTTCTATTTCTTTGTTCCTTTGTTATTGTAAAATAATTTGCCTTAATATGAACTCACCTCTAAATGACCAAGTACATTCAAAGAATAACAGAATTTTCAAATTCTTCTTTGTTCCCTTATATTTTAAATTTATTTTCTTGTTGCTAATTAGATCAGAGGGAGAAACGTCACCGTGCTCTGCCTATATGTAGAAACACTGCAGGTTTTAGAAAAGCTCCAACTACTTATGTTTACATTTTGACAATTGCTCAAATCTAATTATGGATGCAAACTGGCTGTTCCTGAGTATCAACTACTGAGTTCTGGATTTATTTCTCTATACCTATCAGAATTGCTTTCTAATCACCAGCAACCATTCACCCAAGGGCTTACAAGATTTTTCTGAAGTCATTTGGACAATATCAATAGTATATTTTTTTTCCTTTTGGTCTCATCACTAATAAAAGTAACTTAGTACTTAATGGTATTCTGGTAACTGTTTTTATACTCTAGTAAGAAAAATAAAAAAGGAAAATTAAATGACCTGAATATAATTTGTATGCTCTATTAATTTAATGATTATTCAATAAAGTAGTCAAAGAGGAGATCATTGGTGACTATCTTAAACAACGAGAGGATAAATTTGTATCAAATGGATTAAACCATGCCAGACTCAGTGGCTCACACCTGTAATCCCAGCACTGTGGGAGGCAGAGGCAGGCAGATCACTTGAGGTCAGGAGTTCAAGACCTGCCTGGGCAGCATGATGAAACCCTGTCTCTACTAAAAATACAAAAATTAGCTGAGTGTGGTGGCACCCACCTGTGGTATCATCTATTTGGGAGGTATAGGCAGGAGGATTGCTTGAGCCCAGGAGGTCAAGGCTGCAGTCAGCCAAGATCACGTTACTGCACTCCAGCCTGAGCAACAGAAAGAGATGCCATCTAAAAAAAAATAATAATGAATTAAGCCCATTCATTAGCATTTTCATGCATTGGTTTTCTTCATTTCACTAGCACATTTCAAAATTTATTATATTTGTTTTTTTAACTCGCAAATCTTGACATCACTTTGAAATAAATTGAAAAGATATTATTGACATAGAGATTAGAGAGCAGACAGAAGACATGCTTAAATTTACTTCATAATATTGAAGAAGTTTAGAACACACCACCCTAAAACACGCTTCCCTGGAATACTGACTATTTTAAGTTAAAGGTAGTTGTAAAACAGCAGTTCCAAGAACACTCTGACCTTCCTTCTTAAAAGCAAGAAATGAAATTGCCATATGAAAGATGTTCTCCCTAAACCAATAGAAAATTATCAGTATCATTCTTATTATAAAAGCTGGAAAGGTGAGGCTGAGGGAAATCTGTACAAACAAAACTTGTTGAACTCACTCTTATCTTTCTAATTTCTTCTCTATCCACTTAACTAGGGTAGCCCAAGCTCCATTGACTTATTTCCAAAATTTCCTACTGTTTGTCCAATTTACTATGTAAGTGTATGTAAGTGCTCAAATCTATCTGTCTTTGGATGTTCATTTCCTTATGAATGTTCCCATGCCAAATTTCAGAATTTTCAAATTATTCTTTCTTCCATTAAATCTTGTTTTAAATACATTCGTATGATTTTCTCCTGTTATCTGTCTTATGTAAATTTAATTCTCAGGCCTAGCCAAAAAAACCTAGCCAAAAAACCTAGAGATAAAATCATTTCTCCCTGCAATACATAACAGAGAAAAACTCATTTTAAATTTTCAGTCCTAGAACACCATGTTTTCTGTAGTATGCACTTAACAGCAACAAAGTTCTCTTCAATACAGTAATAAAATCAAAGTCTGTATTGTTTAAAGAGATAATATGATTTACAAGTATTATTACTTATAGTCACTATTTGTACATGAAGGTGGGATCTCGTCTTGAGGCATTACTTTTGTGTGGAAACAGTTTCTGGTCTTCAGCTTTTTATAAATAAGAAAATCAGCATTGTGAGAAAAAATAGAAATTGTCATTCTTATATTCTTACCCTTACTGAATAAAGCGATACTTATGCTGAAATGCTATCTATTAATGTCTTGTAAAAGAGACCTATATAAAGCAAAGAAAATAGTCTTCACTGCGCCACATTTTTCCCTTCAATGAAATAATTGTAAATAATATAAATTTATATTTAGGAGGTGGTATGTTGTGGCTGTGTCCCCACTAAAATCTCAACTTCAATTGTAATAATCCCCATGTGTCAAGGGCAGGGCCAGGTGGAGATAATTGAATCATAAGGTTGGATTCCCCCATACTGTTCTCATGGTAGCGAATAAGTCTCACAAGATCTGATGGTTTTATAAATGGGAGTTCCCCTGCACAAGCCCTCTTGCCTGCCACCATGTAAGACATGTCTTTGCTTCTCCTTCACCTTCTGCCATAATTGTGAGGCCTCTACAGCCATGTGGAATTGCAAGTCTATTAGAACTGTTTTCTTTATAAATTACCCAGTCTCGCATATGTCTTTATTAGCAGGTTAAGAACAGACTAACACAATAAATTGCTACTGCAGAGAGTGGGGTGCTCCTGTAAAGACACCCAAAAACATGGAAGCTATTTCATAACTGGATAACAGGCAGAAGTTGGAACAGTTTGGGGGGCTGAGGAGAAGACAGGAATATGTGGGAAAGTTTGGAACTTCCTAGAGACTTGTTTAATAGCTTTGGCCAAAATACTGATAGCGATATGGACGATAAGGTCGAGGCTGAAGTGGTCTCAGATGAAGATGAGGAACTTGTTGGGAAATGGACTAAAGGTCACTCTTGCTATGCAAAGGGACTGGTGATATTTTGCCCCTGTCCTAGACACTTGTGGAATTTCGCACTTGAGAGATATGATTTAGGGTATCTGGCAGAAGTTTCAAAGCAGCAAAGAATTCAAGAGGAAAACAGAGCATAAAAACTTGAAAAATTTGCAGCCTGACTATGTGATAGAAAAGAAACCCCATTTTCTTGGGAGAAATTCAAGCCAGCAGAAAAAAACTGCATAAGTAACTAGGAGTGTTATTCAGCAAGACAATGAGAACTTCATGATAGTCCCTCCCATCACAAGCCACCTAGGAGAAAATTTGGTTTCCTGAGCTGGGCTCCGGTCTCCCCTACCCTATGCAGCCTTGGGACATGGTGCCCTGTGGCCCAGCTGCTTCATCTTTAGCTGTGGCCAAAAGGGGCCAAGATACAGCTCAGGCTGTTGCTTCAGAGGGTGCAACCCCCAGGACTAGGCAGCTTCCACGTGTTTTTTGTCCTATGGGTGTGCAAAAGAGAGTAATTGAGGCTTAGAACGACTGCCTAGATTCAGAGGATGTATGAAAATGCCTGGAAGTTTAGGCAGAAGTCTGCTGCAGGGGTGGAGCTCTTATGGAGAACCTCTGCTAGGGCAGTGCAGAAGGGAAATGTGGGGTTGGAGCCCCCACACAGAGTCCCAACTGGAGCACTGGCTAGTGGAGCAGGGAGGAGAGGGCCAACATCCTCCAGACCCCAGAATGGTAGATTCATCAACAGCTTGCACTGTGCACCTGGAAAAGCCACAGACACTCAGTGCCAGCCCATGAAAGCAGCCGGAAGGGGGCCTGTACACTGCAAAACCACAGGGGCAGAGCTGCCAAAGGTCATAGGAGCCCACCTCTTTCATCAGTGTGACCTGGATGTGAGACATGGAGTCAAAGAAGATCATTTTGGAGCTTTACTATATGACTGCCCCTCTGGATCTTGGATTTCCATGGGGCCTGTAGACTCTTAGGTTTGGACAGTTTCTCCCACTTGTAATGGGTGTTTTTACCAACGCCTGTACCCCCATTGTACCTAGGAAGTAACTAACTTGCTTTTGATTTTGCAGGTTCATAGGCAGAAGGGACTTGCTTTGTCTCTGATGAGAATTTCGACTGTAGATTTATGAATTAATGCTGAAATGAGTTAAGACTTTGGGGGCCTGTTGGGAAGGCATCATTGGTTTTGAAATGTGAGGACATGAGATGTGGTAGTGGCCAGGGGATAAATGATATGGTTTGGCTGTGTCCCCATCCAAAGCTCACCTTGAATTGTAATAATCCTTACATGTCAAGACCAGGGCCAGGTGGAGACAATTGAATCATAGGGGTGGTTTCCTCCATACTTTTCTCATGGTAGTAAATAAGTCTAACAAGATCTGATTGTTTTAGAAATGAGAGTTACCCTGTACAAGTCCTCTTGCCTGCCACCATGTAAGACATGCCTTTGCTTCTTATTTGCCTTCTGCCATGATTATGAGGCCTCTCCAGCCATGTGGAACTGTGAGTTAATTAAACTTCTTTATAAATAACCCATTTGCACATATGTTTTATTAGCAGCATTAAAACAGACAAATACAGGTTTGTTAATAAATATATAATCAAATCAGATAAATCAGAATGATATTAATGTCTAGTTGTATACAATTATAATAGCTTTATGTAACCATCTCCAATTTACAGAGAGCTGCTGAAAGTACTAAAATCTTTCTTTGTGCAACTTTCTTGGAGGCCAGCACTGGTGAAACACAGGTATATTCTGCTTCTCCATGTTTTCTCTCAGCAGTTTTATCATCCCACTTTAATAGGATGTATTACACTGTACAAAACAATTTCTTGATTTATAATTTGATTTCAATATTGTTTTGCTGAAAATTCATCTCAGTTGCCTTCACTGAATTTTTCAATATACACAAGTTTACACACACTCTTTTGGTTTATTGTTATACAGACTAGTAACTATGACCATTTTTATTAGATTGTTCTAGGACACCATAAAAGTGGAATTTCTAGTCTCTATCATTTTAGATAATTTGAAGGTGAAATTAATTATTTTTCTAATCTCTCCTTTGCAGTTTTTATAAGATTGATAAAAATATTGCAGAACTTAGATAACAAATTGGTGTGCTAAACGGAATAACACGTCATTACAATTGTATGTGTTTTGTTGGCCTAAAGCATTGTAAAATTTTGTTTCTTTTTAGAATGTAATCTATTTTATATCCTATTTTAAATATATTTCATATTCTATTTATAGACAATAAATAAATAGAATTCTACTACTATTGTTTTACATAATTGTCAATCAGAAGTCAATTATACTGACAGAGATCTAGGAACTAACCAGAGATGTAAACTTAATGTCAATTGGTTTTCATATTTCAATTACCTATTAGTTTTATTCCGATTATGATAACATGAAATTAATATTTACTTTCAGAAACAAAAATTATTAAGAGTTTACCACGTGTATCCACTGCACTAAACACTAAAATCAAAGCAACAAATGTGAGAGGAAATGATCCCTGCTTTTGAGTAGTTGAAAATATAAGAACAAGTTGATACATAAATGTGAAACTAAGTGTTATCTCTACAATTTGAGGTCGAATTGACTAAAAGTTCTGATGTACTCTATAAAATCTTCCCGTTGAAGGATTAAGGAAAAGAATATTAGTGATGCAAATTTCAATAGCCCTAAAAATTAAAAAGAAAATTGTCTAATAGACTGCATGTCAAGATGAAAAATTTTTAGAATCAAAACCAGAAATATGTATTAAGCCATTGGGGAAAAAAATCAGTATGCAGTTTTGATCAATTCATATCTCTCTCCTTGGAAAGGATAAACCTGAAAAAGAAACCAGCTTTCTAACTGCTTTCCAAGACAGTAAAGAATTTCACTCCTGAATAAGGCCCACTAACATATTTGTACTTAAATAATTTTAGGCTGTATTTCAACCTATTCAATGAATATTACAACAAAAATGATTTAAGGAAAGTTTTCATTTCCAAGGAAAAGAAGTTTGAAGGAGAAAATGTTAAACCTCAAGAAGTCATAGGTAGGACTTGCTGGCTATAAATTTTAATTCAAAATTCCTTACAAAGTATTGCTTTAAATATTCTCAGAGTATTCATACATAAACTCTTACTCTCATAAATATATTCATAGTATGACCAGGATATTGTCTTTTAAGTCACTAGACTTTAATATTTAGAACTGCAAATATGCCAAATGAACATGTAGAAGCAATAAAAACCAATGAGACTTTTGATTTAAAATAAATAAAAATCCGGTAGCACTTAGGAGCCCACTACATAAAAACAAAAGTAATCTAAATTACATGTAGCTCCCATTTAAAAGGAATGGATTGTTTAATAATCTAATTAAAGATGAATAAACATGGAAAAAATCACCATAAGGCAGCTATACAGACATTTTCTAGTGCAAAAGATAATAATCATAATACTATGGATGCTAAGAAAAAAATGTAGTTGAAATTAAGGAAATATACAAAATGGAAAATTTATACAAATAAATACTTTCCAATTAGTAACATTCAGAGCAACACAAACTCTGTTTAAAAAAATGAAAAATGCTCTAAAAAACAGCAAGAGGAAAAGAGTTAGTTATTATAAATTTTTTGGCAAAAAAAAAAAGGTCTAAATCAGCTTATAAAAAGTTTTCATCAGGCTAGGCATGGTGGTTCATTTTTGTAATCCCAGAATTTTGGGAAGCTAAGGTGGGTGTATTGCTTGAGCTCAGGAGTTCAAGACCTGCCTGAGCAACATGGAGAAACCCCACCTCTACAAAAAATAGAAAAATTAGCTGGGTGTGGTGGGGCACAGCTGTACTTCCAGCTACTTGGGAGGCTGAAGTGGGAGGATCACCTGATTCCAGGGAGGTTGAGCCTGCAGTGAGCCACGATCATGACACTGCATTCCAGCTTGTGAGACAGAGTGAGACCCTGTCTCAAAAGAAAAAGAAAAAGGCTCACCAAGTGCCAGGCAAAATGCAAGAGTGATTGACATCAGTGTATATCAAGGTGAAGCGTGTAAAGTTTAAAGAATAAATTTTGTACTCATGGGGCAATAAAATAGGTGACAATCTATGCATGACACACAGATAGTCCACATTTTTAAAAAATCTAAAAGTGACTAATATAACTGAGCAATACAGAGTCTAGAGAAGGAAAAAAAGTGACAATTATAATTATTTTTTATTCTTTTTTATTTTTTTATTTTTTTTTTCTGAGATGGAGTCTCGCTCTGTCTCTAGGCTAGAGTGCAATGGCGTGATCTCAGATCACTGCAACCTCTGCCTCCTGGGTTTAAGCAATTCTCTTGCCTCAGCCTCCCAAGTAGTTTGGATTACAGGCGCTCACCATCACGCCTGACTAAGTTTTGTATTTTTAGCAGAGATGGGGTTTCACCATGTTGGTCAGGCTGGTCTCAAACTCCTGACCTCAGGTGATCACCCAGCTTGACCTCCCAAAGTGATGGGATTACAGGCATGAGCTACCATGTCCAGCCAAAAGCTACAATTATTTTGACTAAGCCAAGTTATCAGTTTTTATATGTGAAGGAAAGGCAGACCTGTTCAAAATTTTAAAAATTAAGAAAATATAAATCACAAGTCAATTTTTTTGTTTATTTTAAATCAATTAACATAAATATTTAACATTCAAAAATTTTTAAAACAATAGTATAAACTTTGTCATGATCATTTTTTAATTTAAAACAGACATTAGACATTTAGCATATATGTATATGAACAAAAACTGTGAAATCAGTTTAAAATTCTAACATCAAATCTATTTTTCCAGCTAACTTGACTGTCCAGAAATACAAACCACTCCTATTTTGTGGTATTCTGCTGAACTTATATGTAATATTTAAGTAATAAGTTTTGCATGTTTTTAAATTTTATGTGACACCTATCAATTTCCATAACTTTGAATATTTTTCACATTTTGAAGTTTATGATTAATTATGTAGAACTATTTTGTTAATTTTAATTCTGTATAACATAGGATTAATCCATTTTCTATGAAAGGACAATTTAATTTTTTACATTTTTTTGTTTTGCTTTGCTTTGTGTTCAATTTTATTTTTTGAGAGAAGTTTCAGTTCATAGCAAAACTAAACAAAGAGGTACAGAGATTTCCTAATATCCCCTTTTCCTGCATATGCATAGCCTCTCCCATTATCAACATCCCCACCAGAGTGGTACATTTGTTACACCTGATGAACCTCCGTTGACACATCATCACCCAGAGTCCATAGTTTATATTAGGATTCACTCTTGATATTGTACCATCTATGTCTTTGCAGAAATGTATAAAATTAAAAATGTCCGCCATTATGGCACCATAAGGAGTATTTTGACTGCCTTAAAAATCTTCAGTGTTCCACCTATCCCCCCCTCCCCTAATCACTGACAAGCACTGATCTTTTTATTGCCTCCATAGTTTTGCAGAGTGTCATGTAGTTGCCGTTATATAGTATATAGCCTTTTAAGATTGGCTTCTTCTGCCTAGTGATATGCATTTAAGTGTTCTCCATTTCTATTCATGAATTCATAGCTCATTTCTTTTTAGGAATGAATAATATTCTATTGTCTAGATCTACCACAGTTTATTTATTTATTCAGCCACTGACAGATGATTTTGTTGTTTCCAAGGTTTAGCAATTTTGAATAAAGCTGATATAAACATGTATGTGTAGGTTTCTGCGTGGAAATAATTTAGATAAATATCAAAGAAAGTGATTACTGTATTTTATAATGAGTATGTTTAGTTTTATAAATGCTTCCAAGGTGGTTGTAGCATTTTGTATTCCCTTTTGCAATGAATGATAATTTCTATTGTACCACATCTCAGCCAGCATTTCGTGTTAGTGTTTTGGTTTTGGGTTATTCTGATATAGGTGTAGAAGCATTTTATTGTTGATTTAACTTGGATTTAATGACATATAATTTAGAGCATCTTTTTATATAATTATTTGCCATGTGTATATGTTCTTTGGTGAAGTATCTGTTAAAGTCTTTGGCCTATTTTTTAGTCAGGTTGTTTGCTTTCTTATTGTTGAGTTTTAAGAGTTCTTTGTATATTTTAAACAACAGTCCTTTATCAGATGTGTATTGTGTAAATATTTTTCTTCAGTTTCCAGCTCATTCTCTTGACATTGTCTTTCACAAAGCACAAATTTTAATTGTGATAAAATCTAGTATATTAATTTTTCCTTTCATCAATTGTTGTTTGGTGTTATATTCAGTCGTTGTCAAACCCAAGGTCATGTAAATTTTCTCCTACATTTTCTACTAAAAATTTTACAATTTTGCATTTTAGACTTAGGTTTGTGACTCACTTTGAGTTAATTTTTGTGAATGGTGCAATGTTTTTGCCTACATTCATGTATTTTGTCTGTGGATGTCCAGCCGTTCCAGCACTGTTTTGTTTTTCTTTGTTCCATTGTATTGCTTTTGCTCCTAAATACAAGATCAGTTAGCTATATGTATGTGCATCAGTTTCTGGATTCTCCCTTCCATTCTCTTTATCAATTTGTCTATTCTTTCAACAACACCACACTGTCTTGATTATCGTAGTTTTATAATAAGTGCTAAATTCAGGAAGTGTTAGTCCCATGACTTTGTTCTTCTCCTTTAATATTGTTTTAGCTACTAGCTACTAGGGTTCCTTGGCATCTCAATAAAAACTGTTAAATTAGTTTGAGAATATACACAAAATAACTTGCTGGTATTTGATTGGAATTACATTGGGTCTATAGTTTAAGTTGGAAAAAACTCACATCTTGATAATACTGAGAGTTCCTATTCATAAACATGAAATTTCTCTTGGTTTAGTTTTTCTTTAATTTACTTTATCAGAGTTTTGTAGTTTTCTTCATTTAGATCTTATACCTATTTTGTTAGATTTTTACCTAAAATTTTCACATTGGGGGAAGGTAATGTAAATGGTAGTATGTTTTAATTTTCAAATTACACTCATTCATTGTTGGTGTACACAAACATGATTGATGTGCATATTAATCAGTAACTTGATTCCTTGCTGTACTTGCTCATTAATTCCAGGCATTCTTCTGATGATTTTTTCAGGCTTTATTCATAGATAATCGTGTTATCTGCAAACAAAGTTTTATTTCTTCCCTAATAATCTGTATATCTTTATTTTTTTTTCTTTTTGCATTTGTTATGACTTTCACTACAACATTAATAATGAGGGATGTATTTTTAATATATATTTATATATAATTATATGTATATATTTTGGGGGGTAGATATTTCTTATCAAGTTCAGAAAGTTCTCTTCTATTCCTGGTTTACAGGGAGTTTTTTTTTTATCATGAATGTCTGTTAAATTTTTTCAAATGCTTTTTCTGTATCTATTGACATAATCATGTGATTTTTCTTCATTACCCTGTTGATGTGATAAATTACATTAATTGATCTTTGAATGTTGACCCAGCCTTATATATGTGACATAATTCTTCCTTGTTTGTGGTATATAATTATTTTTATACATTGTTCAATTAAATTTGCTAATATTTTGTTGAGAATGTATGCTTCTGTGTTCATAAAAGATATTTATTCCTAATTTTATTTTCTTTTTAATGTCTTGTTTTGGTATTAGGGTTATGCTGCCTTCATAGGAAGAATTAGGAGCTATTTCTCCCACTTCTATCTTCTGGAAGACATTGTAGAGGATGAGTATAATTTGTATATTAAATGTGTGGTAGAATTCACCAGTGAACTCATCTAGGCCTTGTGTCTCCTGTTCTAAAATATTAATTATTGATTAAATTTCTTCAATAGCAAAAAAATCTGTTCAGATTGTTTATTTCCTCTAGTGTGAGTTTTGGCAAATTGTGCCTTTCAAGGAATTGGTACATTTCATCTAGGCTATCATATTTGTGGGCATAGACTTGTCCATATTATTGCTTAATTATTTTTTTAATGCTCATGGGATCTGTAGTGATGTATACTCTTTCATTTCTGATATTAGTAATTTGTGTCGTCTCTCTTTTTCCCCTAATTAACCTGGTAAGGAGCTTATCAATTTTATTGATCCTTTCAAAAAAGCAGCTGTCAGTTTCATCGATTTTCTTTACTGACTTTCTCTTTCCCATTTAATTGATATATCTATTTTTATTTATTTTCTTCTGCTTGTTTTAGATTTACTTTGCTTGTCTTTTTCTAGTTTCCTATGTTGGTAATTTAGATGACTAATTTTAGACTTTTTTTCTAATATATGCATTCAACATCATGTTTCCCTCTAAGCACTACTTTTGCTTCATCTCACACACTTTGATTTTTTTTATTTAGTTAAAAATACTTTCTAATTTCTCTTTAAATTTTTTCTTTGATGTAAGCGTTATATAGAAATGTGTTGCTTAATCTCCATGTATTTGAGGATTTTTGACTTATCTTTATACTATTGCTTTCTAGTTAAATTCCATTGTGGCCTTAGAACAGGTCTTGAATGACTATTATTTTAGATATGTTAGCATTTTATGCCTCAGAATGTGATGTATCTTGGTGAATGTTTCATGTGAGCTTGAGAATAATGCATATTTGGCTGTTGTTGGATAAAGTTGTCTATAGATGTCCATTATATCTAGTTAATTTGTGGTGCTGTTGAGTTCAACTATGTTCAAATACTCACCAATTTTCTGCCTGCTAGGCATCTGTATTTCTCAGAGAGGACCACTGAAATATCCAACTGTAATAGTTGGTTTATTAAGGTCTCCTTGCTGTTGTCAGTTTTTGCCTCGTATTTTTTGATGCTCTGTTGTTAGTTGCATCTATGTTAAGGATTGTTTTATCTTCTTGAAGAATCGACTCCTTTATCATTAAATAATGCCACTTTTTGTTCCTGATAACTTTTCTTGCTTTATGTCTTGTCTGTCTGAAATGAATACTGTTGTTTCCACTTCAGTTTTAAATGTTAGCATGGCATATTTGTCTATGTTCATGTGCTTTTAATATGTATGTCTATTTACATTAAAATTGAGTATTTGTATTGACAATATAGTTGAGTCTTACTTTTTAATCCATTGTGACAATCTGTCATGCAATTGATGCATGTAGACCATTGGTATTCAAAGTAATTATTGACATAATTGGCTTAGAACCTTCTGTATTTGTTACTGTTTCTATTGATTATTTTTATTGTTCATATTTTTATTTTTCCATTCTTTTTCTGCTTTTTTTTTTTTTTTTTGAGATGAAGTCTTGCTCTGTCACCCAGGCTGGAGTGCAGTGGCACAATCTCAGTTCACTGCAACCTCCGCCTCCTGGGTTCAAGCAATTCTCCTGCCTCAGCCTCCCCAGCAGCTGGGACTACAGACATGCACCACCACGCCTGGCTAATTTTTGTATTTTTAGTAGAAATGGCGTTTCACCATGTTAGCCAGGCTGGTCTCAAACTCCTGACCTCAGGCACTCCACCCGCTTCCGTCTCCCAAAGTGCTGGGATTACAGGCATAAGCCACCGCACCCGGCCTGCCTTTTGTTTTGAGAATTGTATAATCTTCCTTTCTTTCCCCTTAGTCTACGCTATACTTCTTTATTTCACATTTTTGCCCTAGAATTTGCAATTTACATTTAAAACTAATTCAAATGTGTTTTCAAATAATGCTATATACTACTTCATGGGAATTGTCAGTATCTTATAATAAAATAATTCAAATATCTTCTTTTCATCATTTTTATTATTGCTGTCATTTACCTCATTTATATATATGCTTACATAGACATGTATATGATATATACAAACGCATATACAATACATTGTTGTTATTATATTGAACAAACTGTACTCTTTTAAATCAATTAAATATTTTTTAGTTTACTTTCACTTATTTCTTCTTTCATGATCTTTTTTCTCTATGTAAATTGACTTTTCTGACATATACTATTTTTTTCTTCTCTCTAAAATACTTTTTTTTTTTAACATTTCTTGAAACGCAGGTCTACTTACAACAAATTCTCCTAATTTTTGTTTTGTTTTGTTTGTCAATTTTTGCAAGTCTTTATTTCAATTTAACTTTTGAAGATACTTTTTCAGTATACAGAATTCTAGGTCTAGGTTAGTAGATTTTTTTTTTGTCTCAACACTTTAATTACTTCACTGTACTCTCTTCTTGATTGCATGGTTTCTGAGAAGAGAGCTGTAATTATTATTTTTGTTCCTCCATAGGTAAGGTGACTTTCCTCTATCTTTCAGAATTTTTTCTTTATCTTGACTTCTGTCATTTGAATATTATATGCACAGATATATGGGATTTTTTTGCATTTGTCCTACTTGATGTTCACTGAGAACATCAGGATCTGTAACTTGATGTCTGACATTAAGTTGCAGAAATTCTGTTTCATTAATATTTATTGTCTTATTTTCTCTCTTTCTTCTCCTTCTGGTATTTCTATTACACATTACTTACACCTTTTGTAAATGTTCTACTTTTTGGATATTCTGTTCTATTTGTTTCAGTCTTTATTCTTTTTAGCTTTTCTACTTCTCAGATTTCTAACGATGTAGCCTCCTGGTCAGGGATTCTTTCTGCAGCCATATTCAGTCTACTAATAAGTCCACCAAAGGCATTCTTCATTTCTCTTATAGTTATTTTTTATCATTAACATTTTTTGGTTCTTTCTTAGGAATTTTATATCTCCATGCATATTTCTCATCTGTTCTTGCAGATCTACTTTATTCATTAGCGCCCTATTATATTCATCATGCTTGTCTTAAATTTACTGTCTGGTAATCCCAAACTCCCTGCCATGTCCAGTTGTGATACTTTTTCTATCTTTTCAAACTTTACTTTTCCCCTTTTTAGTATGTCTTGTACTTTTCTTTGATAGCTGGATATGATGTACCGAATAAAAGGAATTGCTATAAATAGGCCTTTAGTGAAGTGTTGATAAGGTGTGGGGGGGAGGAAAACATTCTATAGTCCTGTGATTAGATCTTAGTCTTTTAGGAAGCCTGCAACTCTAGGCTGTGAACTTCCCAAGTGTTTCTCAGTCTCTGCTCCCTCTTAGCTAAAATAGGGTGGCTATAGTGGGTTAAAGTTGAATATGTCTACACTCCACTTGAAAGGCTAGACCTGGCTAGAGTGGGGTGTTTCTCTTTCCCCATGCCAATTATACCCTGACAAACAAACAAACAAACAAAAATCCAGCAGGTTAAGCTCTGGTTACCTTACTCAAAAGAAGAAAATGCTGTAGCATATTTCAAAATGATTCCTTTTCCATTCCCCTGCAGGAAGCATGAGACAATTTTTCTTTGATATTTCTTGTGAGAACCTGATCATAATCCTGGAGGTAAATCTCACAAACGTCTGGGCCCCTTCTAATAATTTGATCCCGTTGAATTTTTAACCCCTGGATTGGTCCACACTGAGCCTCAAACAATTAATCTATTATAGTTCAGGTATTTCTACCCTGGCACTGGTTCCCACAAATATTTATGCTCATAGGTTTTTACTCTGTTGCACTGTGAGTCTCTGTATCTACTTGCCTGTCTCTCCAATGTTAGGAGCTGCAATTTTCCCTGGGACCTCATTTCTCTGATACAGCTAAGAAAAGCTGTTGATTTTTCAGTTTGTTCAGCTTTAAACTTCTTGTTAGAACAGAGTGGTGATTTCCAAACTTCTTACATGTGGAACCAGAAGTTTGCATTTTAAACAAAAACAATTTTAAAGTAGAAATTACTTTATGTAACTTTCTCAATGGACATTTGCAAGAAGATATATCAGATGTATAGGGAGAAGCAAAATTTTCAGGTGATATGGTATGAGCAGTTTTATGTAGCACGACTGATTTGTCATTGCATCTCAGTTCTAGATACTTGTTAATTTATATCATAAATTATTTTAAAAATACTTTTAAACTGATTTCAGTATTATTGCATTGAACTTATATCTTTTAAGTTTTAGATTGTTAATATATTGATACCTACTGTGTCCAGCTTGTTAATGATGATGTTCAAATCTTTTCTATTCATATCAATTTTCTACTTGATGAAGAAGTTACATGTCACATTTCTTAGTGAAATATTCTAAAATCTATGAGTATTACTGTCATGTTTTTGAAATTCTGACCAATATAATTTTTCAGATATTTTTCTAGGTGCACTCAAATTCAGTATTCTTCTTTTTTGTCATTATATTATTATCTTCTTTATCGTTATTAAAGTGTTTTGGCCTTACAATCTACCTTTTATAATGTTAACATAAATTAAAACTTATTCTTATTGTTGATTCCCCAAAATTTACTTTTATCTCTTTACATACAATCCCTTTTGTTTTTATATACTACGAGAAGATGTCTCCAAATAAAAATAAATGCCATTTAATTTCGTTGCAACATTCTAATAAACACTGGGAATGTGAATTGATGGTAGGAATATGCAAATTAATGAATTAAAGCTGTTGTAATCAGCATTCCACTGATTTCAGAATATAATTAAGAATAAATTGCAACACTTTCCAATGTTTGATCCACATGAAGAACTTAGATAAGTAAAAAGAGTTGACGGCTGCTGTAAATGAACTCACCACAAATCTGATGGTTTAAAGCAATAGAAACGTGCTCTCAAAAGCCTAGGTTTGAGAGGTTCAAAATCAAGGTGTCGGCAGAGCCACACTCTCATCAGAGGCTTGGGAGGAGAATCTGCTCTATGTCTCTCTCTTAGCTTCTGGTTGCTACGGGCAGTGAGTGATGTTTCTCGGCTGGGAGCCGCATCACTTCAATCTTTGTCTCTTGCTTCATATTAGCTCCTGCTCTGTGAATGGGTCTTCATTTTCAATTTGCATATCTACCTCTGATTCACTCAAAAAAAAAATGCTGTTGAAGTTAGGGCTCACCCAGATAATCTAGAGTCATCTCATTATCTTAGGATTCTTCACGAATTACATACACAAAGCCTCTTTTTTCCAAATAAGGTAACATTCACTGGTCCCAGGTATTACTACTGGGACATATTTTTATCATTCAAACTATTATAAAGTTATTTCATAAACTCATTAAAACATTACTTTTGTTAAAAAATGTTCTAAGTCACTCTATTATTGAAAATTTATTAGATTGGTGCTTTAATTAAGCCAGAGCCTTTTGTTAGTGGAAATTTAAAAGTAACGTTTCTGAAGTAGTTACACAGAAGTATGAAGTAGATTAAACTCTAGTGAGAAATGTTACAAAAAGATCTCCTAGGAAATATTAAGTAACAATTTTTCTATGACATTCTCTTTCTAAAGTTAGTCCATCTGTTTGTTTGTTTGTTTGTTTTTGTTTTCTTGAAACGGAGTTTCACTCTTGTTGTCCAGGCTGGAGTGCAATGGCGCGATCTTGGTTCACTGCAAACTCCGCCTCCCAGGTTCAAGCGATTCTCCTGCCTCAGCCTCCCAAGTAACTGGCATTAGAGGCATTCACCACACTGCCCGGCTAATGTTTTGTATTTTTTTTTGGTAGAGACGGGGTTGCACCATTTTGGTCAAGCTGGTCTCCAACTCCTGACCTCCGGTGATCAACCTGCCTCGGCCTCCCAAAGTGCTGAGATTACAGGCGTGAGGCACCACGCCCGGCCTATTTGGGGTTATTTCAGTGATTTATTAAATTGTATTTAATCTGTTTATATTAATTTCTAGTACATTCGAGAGGATTAATAGTTTGTTTATAATTTGACCAGTGAGTATTTTGTTTTATCATATTTAAGTAAAATAAATAAAAATTAAGATTACCTGTACTTCTTTTGCTGAAAATCTACATCCATCTTTTAATAATAATCTTCTGCATATAAACTATCTCTGAAATTTAACTACTTTTATGATAAAGTGAACATTGTATCAGAGTAGACTTTTACTTTTATTTTTGGTCTACTGTTTCCATATATGCTAATCCTGTAAGTATTTTTTTTTCACTCTGGTGGAAGATTTCATTTAAGTATTGTAACTTACATTCCATACATTGTTCCAGTGGCTTTGGGCAATGTGTACATTTTAAATAAATTATATGAATACATTAGTTTTGCTGTTCTAATTGCCTGTTACCTCCAGTATTTCTGTGAAGACACATTGCTTAAACAATAGCTGAAGCCGTATTTACCTAGC
This sequence comes from Homo sapiens, assembly GCF_000001405.40. Lineage (NCBI taxonomy): Eukaryota > Metazoa > Chordata > Mammalia > Primates > Hominidae > Homo > Homo sapiens. The sequence continues at coordinate 83,363,859 of NC_000003.12, read as the reverse complement.
AATTCTTCAGAAACAATGGGATGCAATTGCAAACTTTTAAAATGAAATACAAATATTTATATTGAATATACTTGTCATAACTTATTTGAAATCTACTGACATTTTAAATATATAAAGGTGAGAGACTAATGACAATAAAAAGAGCAAACCCTGAAAGCCAGTACTTGGGGCAGGAGTTAAAAAAAAAAATGAAACAAACAAAAAAATGAAACAAGCTGGGCAGGGTGGCTCATACCTGTAATCTGAGCACTTTGGGAGGCCAAAGCTGGAAGATCACTTGAGGTCAGGAGTTCGAGAACAGCCTGGACATCGTGGTGAAACCCTGTATATACTAAAAATACAAAAATTTGCCAGGCATGATGGCACGGCCCGTAATTCCAGCTACTTGGGAGGCTGAGGCAGGACAATGGCTTGAACCTGGGAGGCAGAGGTTGCAGTCAGCCAAGAGCCTGCCACTGCAATCCAGCCTGGGTGACAGAGTGAGATTTTGTCAAAAAAAAAAAAAAAAAAAAAAGAATAAAGCGAGCAAGCAAAAAAGCAACAATACTGTAGATACAAATTTCTTTCATTTATATTTCATCTCATATAATTTAAAGTACAACTCTAAAAAGGCATATGGGATGAAAACTGATGTCCCCCACAAAATTTATATATTGCAGCCTTAACTTCCAATTTTATGATATTTGGAGATGGGACTTTTGGAAGGTAATTAGAATTAGATAAGGTCATGAAGGTGGAGCCCTTTTGACGGAATTAATGTCCTTATAAAAAAAAATCACCAGAGAGCTTGCTTTCTTGCTCCCAGTGTGAACAAAAAGAAGATATTATGTGATCACATGGTGAGACGGTAGCTGTCTACAAGCCAAAAGAAGAGGCCTCAGAAAGAAACCAATAATGATTGCACCCTGACTTGAACTTCCAGCTTCCACACCTGTGTCTGTTGTTTAATCTACTGGTCAATGGTATTTTGTTATGTCAGCCCAAGCTGACTAGTGCAAAAGACTAGGAGTTAAATGGATGTATTTGTAATGATTGTAGCTAAAAGTCTCTTTGCATGATATTTTATTTAATTGTTCTCAATTATAATAGAAATTAAGCTCATTATTTTTCTGTAAAAGTTAATTTAGACTAAAAGCATTAGCAAAGCAGATCAATTTCCAAACATTTGCTAATGTCTTAAAAGTTATTTTCCTTTTTATTTGATTCTAAGTAAAAGTAATAACGGTTATTAATTTGTAAACCAGATGCTTATTAAACATCTATAAAGTGAAAACACTGGATGCAAGTTGGAAAGTATATAGACCCCTGCTTTCTTTTTAGTTATATATTTAAGAAGTCATAAAAATGCGTAAATACTTTCTAGTTGGTTTTGCTTTGTTTTATTGGTTGTAAACATAGAAGCATACATGATTAATTCTGAGTTAAATATTAGAGAAGTAGTCAAGGAAGGGCATTATTGAACTGGGACCATCAAAAATTTGTTTTCTGGGACTATTTGCAAAAACAATAAACTTGGTACAGATGCTGCTTGACTTACAATGGGGTTATGTCCTGATAAACTCATCATAACTTAAAAATATTGTAAGTTGAAAATGTATTTAATATACCTAAGCTACTGTACATAGCCTCTCCCACCGTAAATGTGCTCAGAACACTTATATTAGCCGACAGTTGGAAAAAAATCTAACACAATCTTTATCTTACAATAAAGTGTTGAAAAGATCAAAATTAATAAATGGAAATACAGTGTCTACGAAATGTGTATTGCTTTTGTACCATTATAAAGTTGAAAAATTGTAAGGTGAATCATCTTAAGCAGGAGACTGTGCAGTAATGCTATGGCAAATGGAGGAAGAATGTGATGATAGTGGAAAATGAGATTTATTTTATTAACATATATTATTTATTTCCTAGACTGCCGAGACCAGCTCAATCAGGAAGACCCTAACTCAGTGGCGCTAGAGGAATTAAAGACACACACACAGAAATATAGAGGCATGGAGTGGGAAATCAGGGCTCTCACAGCCTTCAGAACTGAGAGCCTCGAACAGAGATTTACCTATGTATTTATTAACAGCAAGCCAGTGATACGCATTGTTTCTATAGATTATAGATTAACTAAAAGTATTCCTTAGGGGAAACAAAGGGATGAGCTGACATAAAGAGATGAGTCTGCCTTGTTATCTGCAGCAGGAGCATGTCCTTAAGGCACAGATCACTCATGCTATTGTTTGTGGTTTAAGAACACCTTTAAGTGGTTTTCCACCCTGGGTGGGCCAGGTGTTCTTTGCCCTCATTCCGGTAAACCCGCAACCTTCGGCATGGGTGTTATGGCCATCACGGACATGTCACAGTGCTGCAGAGATTTTGTTTATGGCCAGTTTTGGGGCCAGTTTGTGGCCAGATTTTGGGGGGGCCTATTCCCAACACTAGACAATTAAGAAAAGCTGTCAAAAGGAAGGCCAGTAGGAATTTGACGTTTAGATTTGTTACATTTACAAGAAGTAGAATATTGAATAAAAGCAAGTTCTGTTGAAATGTGTAGAAAATTATCATTTCTCATGACCTAATTTTGGTCAACATGTACATACCCCTATATTTCAAAATAATATGTGTAAAAGTTAACCTATTTTTAAAAATTGAATATACAGTTGACTGTGGAATAACATGGGGCTTAGGGGCACTGACACCCCTCTCTGGACAATGAAAAATCCACATACAATTTTGATCCCCCAAAAGTTAACTATTAATAGCCTACTGTTGTCTGAAAGCCTTATCAGTAACATAAATAGCAGATGAACACATATCTTGTATGTTACATGTATTTTACTTACATTAAACTAAGCTGGAACAAAAATGTTGTTAAGAAAATCATTAAAAAGATAAAGTATACTTACTATTTGTTAAGTGAAAGTGGATCATGATATGGATCCACTGCATTAAGTGGAGTAAATCATTGCCTTCAATGTTAATTAGGCTGAGGGGAAGGAGGAAGAGGAGGAGCTGGTCTTTCTGTCTCAGGAGTAGTAGGGGTAGAAGAAAACTCAAGTATAAATGGACATGTGCAGTTCAAACTCAGATTGTTTGAGGGTCAACTGTTTATAAATGCACAAAACTACATTTAAGAAATGATAACAAATTTTGCAACATGTTAATCAATCTCTAAATGGTTTGAGAATATAACATATTATGTTTAGTATATATTTTGTAATCTTTCCTATTTTATATTCCTCATCATTATTTGTATTACTATTTTAGATACTGATGAAAGCATTATATTGGAAATATTTTAAATAAAAGTGTTTATCAATGTAAAATGGTATTAAAAATTCTTCCAGGGAAAGACACTGGGAAATGTATTAATAAGAATATTCAAGATACTGTTTTTAATAGAAGGCTGAAAATAGAACCAATTTATGTCAGGTCTTGGATATTTACAAAATTAAATACAAATTTTTTATATCAGTAAAAGTACACTGGATTATGCTGTAATAATAAACAACCTTGAGTTATTAGTGACTTTGTAACATAACTTTTTTTTTTCTTTTTATACCCACAGTCTTCTGTATATCCAAACATTTTTTAAGGCATCCATCAATACACTGTCAATCATTTCAGGCTGGTTTGATGTTATGGCACCCTCCTACTAGCCTTCAATTCCAATATCATAATGGCAGGAATAGATATGAAAATCACAAAGCAATTCTTAAATGCTTTCACTTAAAAGTGCTACATTCCCCTACATCTCACATTTTATTGGTTTAAGCACATCACATTTCCATATCTAATTTTTCTATTTGCCTGAACGTTTGCTCCCAGCGTGAAGTGTTGGTCTATATCAAATTCCTTTTCAAAAATTTCAGTTGTAGAAAAATAGAAGAATAAAACTTATAATTGAAATTACATTACAGTTTGTACTCCTAACACAAATGGCTCAACATCATAGCTGATATCTCCTGGAGTTTGCAAACATTAAAGTTTACTGTTTGTGATGTTCCATCTCAGGGTTTCTATAAATGCATAAAATCATTCCTCCACAAGCTCAGTATCATCCAGAATAGTTCCATCACCCTAAAGCTTCCCCACTGTTTACTCTTTACAGTAAATACTTTTCTTTCTTCAACCCTTGGCAGCTACTATGTTCCCAGTCCCTACAGTTTCTTTTTCTTTCTTTTTCAACATATAGTATGTATGAAATCCTATGATATGTGAATTTTGGGGTCTAACTTCATTCATTTAGCAATATGCACTGAAATTCACTCATGCTATTACATGAATCAATAGCATGATCCTCTTTTAGCTGAATAGCTTTCCATTTTATAGTTGTACCACGGTTTATTTGCCTATTCACTAGTTGAAATACATCGTGGTAGCTTACAGTTCTTCACAGTTGTCAATAAAGCTTACATGATAATTCAGTTATGGGATTTAGTGTGGACATACCTAGGAATGTTATTTCTGGGCCATGTATTCCTTGTGTTTAACTTTATAAGGAACTGCCAAACTGTTTTCAAAAGTGTCTGCAACATTTATCAATGCCATCAATAAAAATTAGTGTTGCTTTGCATCCTCCCTAGCATTTTGTATTCTCAGGTTTTGCATTTTCGCCAACTTTAAAAAAAATTGAGTAGTTGTGTAAACTCACTGTGGTTTTAATTTGCATTGTTCTAATGAGAAATAATGTTGGACATATTTTCAAGTGTTTATTAGCCATCTTTATATGTTCTGTTGGTCCAAATCATTAAATTAATTTTTTTTTTTTTTTGAGGTAAAGTTTTGCTTTTGTCGTCCAGACTGGAGAGCAGTGGCACAATCTCGGCTCAACACAACCTCCACCTCCTGGGTTCAAGCGATTCTCCTGCCTCAGCCTCCCGAGTAGCTGGGATTATTTATAGGCATGCGCCACCATGCCCGGCTAATTTTGTGTTTTTAGTAGAGATGGAGTTTCTCCATGTTGGTGAGGCTTGTCTTGAACTCCCAACCTCAGGTGATCCACCCACTTCGGCCTCCCAAAGTGCTGGGATTACAGGCATGAGCCCCCATGCCCAGCCTAATCTAATTTTTTACTGGGTTACTTTTCTTTATTTTTAGCAGTTATAGGGTCATCATTAAGATTTAAGTGCTTTTTACTCTTGATATAAATTCTTTATCAGACATGAAAGTTTTCACTACTTTCTCCTCATTTTTGACTTCTCATTCTCATAACTGTGTCTTTGTAAGACAAAAATATGAATTTTTAATAACATTCAATTTATATTTTTTTCTTTTATAGGTAGTATTATTATCATTATGCCTAAAACCTCACAGTTGACCCCAAGCCCATATGAATTTTTTCCTATAAATTTTGGAATTCAACATCTCACATTTAAGTATAGGGTACATTTTGAATTCACTTTGATAATATTGTGTAAGGTATTGTTGAACTTTATTTTTTATTTTTGTTTTTGTATATTGACATTCAATTTTTTAGTATCATTTGTTAACAAGACTTTCTACATTGAATTTCTTTTTTCTTTTGTCAAAATATCGATAATTAAGTTTCTGTAAGTTTATTTCTGGTGTCACTGTTCTTTTCCATTGATTTTTTTATATAAACTTTAGAATGCACTTGTGAATATCTAGAAGAAAAAATTACTGCTCTTTTAAATCACACCACATTAATCATTTTTTTCTTTATCTGTATGTTCTTTGAGTTGTTTTATTGGTGTTTTGTATTTGTCTATGTACACATCCTGCATATATTTAAAACGGAAGTAGAGCATAAAAGTTCAGAAAATTTGCAGCCTCACAATGAGATAGAAAAGAAAAACCCATTTTCTGGGGAGAAAGCTGGCTGCAGAGATTTGCATAAGTAACAAGGGGCCAAATGTTAATTGCCAAAACAGCAGGGGAAATGTCTCCAGGGCATGTCAGAGGTTTTCATGGCAGTCCCTCCCATTAGAGGCCTGGAGGAGTAGAAGGAAAAAATGGTTTTGTGGGCTGGGTCCAAGGCCTTGCTCCTTTTCTTTCAGTCTTGGAACTTGGTGTGCTACATTCCAGCAATGCCTAAAAGGGGTCAACATACAGCTTAGGCTTGCTTCACAGGGTGCAAGCCCCAAACCTTTGTGGCTTAAACGTGGTGTTAGGCCTGTGGGTGCACAGGAGTCAAGAATTGGGGCTTGGGAACCTCTGCCTAGATTTCAAAGAATGTATGGAAATTCCTAGATGTACAGGCAGAAGCTTGCTGCCTGTACAATTGCAAAGAGATGATTAGGAATTGCAAACTTACACCTTCCATTCCTCCTTCTTCTCCCTTAGCCTGTGTTCTCAATAACTTAAAACCTCTTCAACTCACATCTTACCTAAAACCCAAATGCCTTATTATCTTCTACAATGCCGCTTGACCCCAATACAAACTTGACAGTGGTTCCAAATAGCCAGAAAATGGCACTTTCAATTTTTCCAACCTACAAGATCTAGATAATTCTTGTCATAAAATGGGCAAATGGTCTGAGGTGCCTGACATCCAGGCATTCTTTTACACATCTGTCCCTCCTTAGTCTCTGTTCCTAATGCGACTCATCCCAAATCCTCCTTCTTTCCCTCCCACCTGCCCCTCAGACCCAACCCCAAACATTGCTGAGTGTTTTCAATCTTCCTTTTCTACAGACCCATCTGACCTCTCCCCTCATCCCCAGACTGCTCTTCAGGTCACTCCCCATCAGGCTGAATCAGGCTCCAATTCTTCCTCAGCTTCTGCCCCTCCACCCCATAATCCTTCTATCACCTCCTCTCCCCACACCCTGTCTGGCTTACAGTTTCATTCCACGACTAGCCCTCCCCCACCTGCCCAACAATTTCCTCTTAAAGAGGTGGCTGGAGCTAAAGGCATAGTCAAGGTTAATGCTCCTTTTTCTTTATCTGACCTCTCCCAAATCAGTTAGCGTTTAGGCTCTTTTTCATCAAATATAAAAACCCAGCTTAGTTCATGGCCTCTTCGGCAGCAACCCTTAGACGCTTTACATCCCTAGACCCTGAAGGGTCAGAAGGCTGTCTTATTCTCAATATACATTTTGTTACACAATCTCTCCCAATCTCCAAAAATTAAATTCTGGCCCTCAAACCCCAAAACAGGACTAATTAACCTCACCTTCAAGGTGTACAATAATAGAGAAGAGTTGCAATTACTTGCCTCTGCTGTGAGAGAAACCCCAGCCACATCTCCAGCACACAAGAACTTCAAAATGCCTAAGCCACAGTGGTGAGGTGTTCCTTCAGGACCTCCTCCCCCAGGATCTTACTTCAAGTTCTGGAAATCTGGCCACTGGGCCAAGGAATGTCCTCAGCCTGGGATTCCTCCTAAGCTGTGTCCCCTCTGTGTGGGACCCCACTGGAAGTTGGACTGTCCAGCTGTCCCAAGGCTCTGACTGACTCCTTCCCAGATCTTCTTGGCTTAGCGGCTGAAGACTGATGTTGCCTGATCACCTCGGAAGCCTCCTGGACCATCACAGACACTTTGGGTAACTCTTACAGTGGAGGATAAGTCCATCCCCTTCTTAATCAATATGGAGGCTACCCACTCCACATTACCTTCTTTTCAATGGCCTGTTTCCCTTGCCCCCGTAACTGTTGTGGGTATTGACCAGGCTTCTAAACCTCCTAAAACTCCCCAACTCTGGTGCCAACTTGGAAAATATTCTTTTCTGCACTCCTTTTTAGTTATCCCCACTTGCCCAGTTCCCTTATTAGGTAGAGACATTTTAACTAAATTATCTGCTTCCCTGACTATTCCTAGGCTACAGCCACACCTCATTGCTGCCCTTTTCCCCACTTCAAAACCTCCTTCGCATCCTCCCCTTGTATCTCCCAACTTAATCCACAGGTATGGGACACCTCTACTCCCTCCCTGGCAACCAATCACAAGCCCATTACTATCCCATTAAAACCTAATCACCTTTACCCCACTCAATGTCAATATCCCAACCCACAGCACACTTTAAAAGGATTAAAGCCTGTTATCACTAGCCTGTTACAGCACGGGCTTTTAAAGCCTATAAACTCTCCTTACAATTCCCCCATTTTATCTGTCCAAAAACCGGACAAGCCTTACAGGTTAGTTCCTGAACTAACCTGTAAGTTATTTCTGTGCCTTATCAACAAAATTATTTTGCCTGTCCACCCTGTGGTGCCAAACCCATATACTCTACTATACTCAATACCTCCCTCCACAACCCATTATTCTGTTCTAGATAAACCTAGCTGACCCCATAGATCCTAAATCCTTCCCCACTCCCCTTTCTATTCCTTAAAAAACAGCTCCCACACTAGCTCTCCCTAACTCATCACACCCTTTTCATTACATACAGCTGAAGTGCAGGGCTGTGCAGTCGGAGTTCTTATGCAAGAGCCAGGACCGCGCCCTGCAGCCTTTTTGTCCAAACAACTTGACCTTACTGTTTTAGCCTAGCCCTCATATCTGTCTGTGGCAGCTGCCGCTGCTTTAATACTTTTAGAGGCCCTCAAAATCACAAACTGCTCAACTCACTCTCTACAGTTCTTGTAACTTCGAAAATCTATTTTCTTCCTCACACCTAACACATATACTTTCTGCCCTCCTCCACTACCACTCAGCTAGCCTAACTCATTGCCTTAACTCAAGCCCTCACTCTTGCAAAGGGACTACGCATCAATATTTGTACTGACTCTAAATATGCTTTCCATATCCTATACCACCATGCTGTTATATGGGCAGAAAGAGGTTTCCTCACTACACAAGGGTCCTCCATCATTAATGCCTCTTTAATAAAAACTCTTCTTAAGGCTGCTTTACTTCCAAAGGAAGCTGGAGTCATTCACTGCAAGAGGCGTCAGATCCCATCGCTCAGAGCAACGCTTATGCTGATAAGGTAGCTAAAGAAGCAGCTAGCGTTCCAACTTCTATCCCTCATGGTCAGTTTTTCTCCTTCTCATCGGTCACTTCCACCTACTCCCCCACTGAAACTTCCACCTATCAATCTCTTCCCACACAAGGCAAATGGTTCTATACAGCAAGTGTTTCTTCTAACAACCCCACAATATCAACCCTTGCCACAAAATCTTCCTTCAGTTTAATCTCTCCCACTCTAGGTTCCCATGCCACTCCTAATCCTGCTCGAAGCAGCCCTGAGGAACATTGCACAATATTTCTCCATACCACCTCCCAAAAATTTTCACTGCCCCAACACTTCACCACTATTTTATGTTATTTTTCTTATTAATATAAGGAGACAGGAATGTCAGGCCTCTGAGCCCAAGCTAAGCCATCATATCCCCTGTGACTTGCACATATACATCCAGATGTCCTGAAGCAAGTGAGGAATTACAAAGAAGTGAAAATGGCCAGTTCCTGTCTTAACTGATGACATTCCACCATTGTGGTTTGTTCCTGCCCCACCTTAACTAAGTGATTAACCTTGTGAAATTCCTTCTCCTGGCTCAGAGGTTCCCTCACTGAGCCCCTTGTGACCCCTGCCCCTGCCCGTAAGAGAAAAACCCCCCTTGACTGTAATTTTCCACTACGTACCCAAATCCTGTAAAACAGCCCCACCCCTATTTCCCTTCCCTGACTCTTTTTGGACTCAGCCTGCCTGAACCCAGGTGAAATAAACAGCCTTGTTGCTCACACAAAGCCTGTTTGGTGGTCTCTTCACACAGATACGCATGACACAAAGAACACTAATCTCATTCATGAGGACTACATTCTCATGACCTAAACTCTCAAAGACCCACCTACAAATATCATCATATTGAGAATTAGATTTCAACGTTTGAATTTAGGGAGGAAAAAAATATTAAATCTATGATGTGGTCTAATGTTCTATCAGATTGTATCTTGTCTGTGACTTTGCTTTAGGTAAGTAAATGCTAAGATTCTGTGTCTCCATATTTCAGTATTATGCTTTTCTTTGAACCTGAATTTTCTAATGTATTTATAAATTATTATTTTTATATTTTTAGAGACAGTGTCTTGCTCTGTAATCATAGCTCATTGCAGCCTCCGCCTCTGGGGTTTAGGGGATCCTCCCACCTCAGCCTCCCAAGTATCTAGGACTACAGCTGTGTGCCATCATGCCAAGATAATTTTTTTATTTTTTATTTTTGTAGAGACGGGGTCTCACTATGTTGGCTAGGCTTGTCTTGAACTTCTGGCCTCAATCAATCCTCCTGGCCAGCCTCCCAAAGTGCTGGACTTACAGGCATGAGCCACCATGCCCAGACTATAAGCAGTTATTAATTTGTACCCATTTACTTTCTTTTCTCTGTATAAATGAGAATTATTTTCTTCCATCTCTCTTCATTTCTGAGGTAAAACAAGAAGTCTATTTATTTTTTCTTGTTTTTTTGTTTTGTTTCATGTTTTTATAATGCTAAGGCAATATTTTGAGTATTTACTCATTTCTGGAGCTTAATGAAAAGGTTCACAGTAACAGATGCACATCAGAACAGGTGATTACATATTTGGTGGTATAGAATGAAATAATGCCTGTATTTAATGCCTGGATTAATAAAGTTTGTCTTTTGATGTGTAGAAAGACACATAGAGTGGATCACTGGTAGAGAAAGTGATGAGAAGAAAGCAACATACATGTCAAATTAACCAATAATTTGCTGCTACAATCAAATTATTAAATATTTAACTACTTTTAAAAGGTGTGTACTATGCAAGGAGGTGCAAGGCAAGAGCTATAATATCAAGAAAAAGTGCTGCCATTTTGAAGACCCTCTTTCTTTCTTAATGTCTGAGAATTTTACACAGAAAGATGTCAGAGAACTGGGTCATGGTTCTTACGTTCCATTTCCTGAGGTCTACTTTTTGGAAGTTGCAAATAGATTTTAAATACCTGGATAAAGCAGTGCAAAGATTACCAGTTCGATTTGGATTAAAGTGTGGTGATGAAAATTCATTTTATCTTTTTTCTCAATAATTTTAATATGGTGTCTTTTTCTTATCAAGGTTGTACACTTTAGAGTAAATAAAAGCTACTGTTGGCTATATTTTTAATTAATAAAATATTTTAATAATTACATTAGTCAATCATTTCTTATTATCTTAAAACTCAGAATTATTTTGAAATCAGTCATCTAAAAATTAGTCAATACATTTATTTCTTTTTACAACAGTCAATAAATTATAGCTCTGATGTTCTGGTTTATGTAAATGTCTTTCAATATTTTCCTCACGTGATCTAGAATAGTAACAATTTTTTGGGATTAAAAAGAGAAAGTTTAAGAAAACCTTAGACAATTTGATGTTATCTTCTGAATCATTAAAAAATTTCCATATTATGCTTTATGAAAACTTTATCAGGGACATTAACTTGTATTTATTTTTGGTTTTGTATCCATTTGCTAAAGTGGGAACCACTATCACCAGGTTCTATCATTCACCAAAATCTTTCTTATTGTTAGGGTTCAGGAAACAATACCCTAAAATATGGTACTTTGACATACTGTACTAAAGGTGCAGCCTCAAGGTCTGTCTTTGATCTATCCGGATTTCCCTGTCTCCCTGATAGTGTTTCCCAAAGCACCAGTAGGCATTTTCTCTGGAATTTCCTTATCTAAGAAAACTTCTTTCCAAAAGAAATGCAATTTTCTTAAGACCTCTTTCTTATGAGTTTCATCAAATAATTAGGAAAGATTAGCCACTGAAAAAGAGAAGAGACTGGGAGTTCTCAGTACACCCAAAGAGACATTTTATCCATTTTTCTGAGGGCAGCCCCAAGAGATTACCTGGGGGATTTTATCTACATAATAACATCATCATTATTCACAGTAAATTTCTGCCCTTTATCTTTCCATCACCTCTTCCAGAGCTCAGAGAAAATTTATTCCAAGTCATTATTCTTTGGGTTCATTCATTTCTACTGAAAATCATTTACTCCTCCAACCCTCATCTCCCCTTCCTCTGTAAAAAAAGGGTATATAGGGATCTACACTTCATTGTGTTATTAGCTAACGGTTAGCTAACCCTGTGCTATGAGTATTGAATAAATCTGTATGTCTTTTCTGCTATTCATTTGTTTATTATCAGTTTATTTTCAGTGAACCTTCAGAGTAAAGCTTTCCCTTGGCCTCTGCAGATTTTGTGTTGTGATCAGGAAAACTCAAAATATCTCTGATCTTTAGGAAGCCACAGTCAAGGAAACCCTATTTAGGGTTTTAAAAAAATTACCAGTCAGAGTGCCTAGGTGTCTGTCTGTAAATCTGGAAGAACAGATGGTAAGAATCATTGTTCATTTTTTTTCCTTTCTAAATTCAAATGAATGGATGAAAGCATTTGTATGGACTAGGTCTTAGGCTTAGTAATTCTGGTGTGCTTTTATCATGGTGGATGCATCTTCTGCACTCATTTTTTAAAATGTCCATGTATTCTAAACCTAGAAAGTTACCTCTGGGGCTTTCCATTAAAAAAAATGCCTTATTGGCTTGAGTTGCTTATAAAATACATAAATTGGTTATGTTAAAAAGGAAAAAAAAGTTTTTAGAGTGCCCATGTCTTAAACGGCTATCTAATTGATACCTATAAAGGACATGAAAGTAATATAGAATTAGAAACTCCCTCAGCAAGAATTTAAAAGCACAATTTAGATTTAAATCAAAGCCCAAATCCTTTGAGCACTCAAACTGCCTGCTATGGGATTTACCAAAAAAAAGCACTTCAGTCTATGATCTAATGGCTAGGATTTGGGGCCAACACAGGTTGTTGTTGGGCCTTTGTGTGCAGATGGCTAGTTAAGAGGTGAGGACCATAGAGAATACAGCCATACAGAGATGTGGGTTCTACTCCATTTGCAGCTTGTGAAAATTTCCTTTCTTTAAGCTGTCATTGGGAGTTTTCTGGGTCTTGAAAGGGTTGCAGGTTTTTGCTTTCTTTTTGGAGGCTTTTGTTAAAGTAATCAATGGCTTCTTGGTTTTGCTCTTATGCATGCTTTTTTGTTTCAGTTTTCAGTCATTTAAAGATATGCCTTTGGTTAAAATTTAGGTTTATATTTAGGTCATACTAGCAATTTTTTTCTTTTCCTTTTTTTTTTTTTTTTTTTTTTTTTTTTCATTTATCTTGCTTTCTCTACTGGGACAGAGAGATATGCTTCCTGCTGCCACTGGGAACTGGGAGCAAGCACAGTGGGCCCTTCCAAGACAGCAGCCGGTAGAGTGGTGCTCCTGCCATCACTGTTCCCTTGGCTAAGGCAAAAATAATTTATTTAAAGAACACTATAATCAAAAGTTGGCTTAATTCATAATTCATATTCAAGCTATATATATGTACATATATATTTAAGACCTCTCTATTTTTCTGTGTTGGATTTTGCTTTTTTCTGTAGAAACTTCTCAGTCAACAGAATCACTTTTTCTCGAGACCTTTATTGGCCTTTTTAAGAAAACTTAACATCTCCTGAAACTGGATCCTCTGAAACTCGTTCTTTCTCCTCCTTCATTTACCACCTTTGATCCTTTATCCAGTTCCCTTGATATGAAGCCCTTCAATATAAGAGGAAACATAACAGTTCTAGCTGTCATATGAACAGGTCCGAAGGAGACTATTATCGGCCATGGGACTCCTTGAAGAACATTGAGAAGGCACAACTAAATCCCCCTTTTTTGGGATCATCTGTCTTCCTCATGTACCAAGGGTTGTGGGCAAGTCCCTCTTAAGTCTGAAACTCTGCTTTCTTTTTGCATTGAGTACCCTGATCTCTTTGACATTTGGGGGTGCCAAGAGTAACTTCATATTGTGAGAGAACATTTAACTTTTGGGCGTGTGATAACTGATGAGTTACTGGCTGCAATTTTAAAAGTGACAAACAAAAGTTTCAGTGAAGAGTTATCATTGCAGGGGGCTATTCATTTCTTCATACATCAGGATAAGAAAAGCCTAAGATTTCTGACTTAGTCAAACAAAAAACTGATGGTAAATGGGAAACTGGCAACAGAAAAGTTGTTTTCTAGGTTGGTCAGGGGAATCTCAGAGCTTGGGCCATGACCTGACAATGGGTACAATTTGGACACTCGGAGGCTGTGGGAGAACTCACCATCAAAAGATTCAGCTCCCATGGGGGACAGGCTGGTAACAGAGTGGGCGGGTTGGTATTGGATCTCCCACCAATTAGGGGGATATCCTGACAGTGAGGTGCACTGTGACAGCATTGTGCAGCTCTGTAGTCTCATAGCATTTCCATCTTGGGCTTTCGCCTTGGTTCTGAGGGACCTGGGATTTAGTGTATGAATGAGGTTCTTTCTTTCTCAAGTTCTAGGTGCTCCACTTTCCAGCTGTGTCTGCCTTTTATATGTATAAATGTTAGGCGTTGTGACCTGCAAATGCTCAATTCATTTGTGAGTTCACCCTGAGCTCAGTAATCCAGTTAATAAGTATAACAGAAACTAAATTCAAAAGCCACTTATATAACAAAATTGGTCTCCAAAATATAACCTTTTGACATTTAGCCAGTTATTTTGAAAGCGCTTCTGAAATTGTTTTTCCTAGGCTCCTCTGTATAATCCTGCAATAAATTACTATGATTTTATATTACCTTGTCATCCATTTTTAATCTTCCTCTACGTCTCATCTAAGTGACACACCCTTAACTCTCTATTAAGGAAAAAAAAGTTGCATTATTTCTCTGTGCTTTTAAGATGTAAATTGAACTTGATAAATGGTTTTAGCCATGTAAGACAGATAAACTCTTACTTGTTTCATTCACAGGGCATAATTTGAATTCAATTGTCCTTTTAAGCTAGTGAATTTTATTTGTCTCATGGCTAAAATTTTAAAATCAAAGCTATTAATTGTTTATTTATATTGGTTGGCATTTTACATACACATTTGTACATGTTGATGTTTTTATATTGTCTTCATGGTACCAAATTGAATTAAAATAATGAGCACTTGTAAATTAAACAAATAAGCCCAAATGCCTTTTAAGTTTATGTAACTTTAGTCCAAATCACTTTGGTCACTAGGCCTAAGTCAAATTAAATAATGGCTATTCATTTAAAAAAAATCTAGATAATAACCAAATAAGATATAATGTTAAAACATTAATTATTAAATATAAATTCAAGCTGATATGCTTTTGGCTTTTTATTTCACAGAAACAAAAGATATTTGGGTTTGTTAGTAAACTTATCCTGTTCCATATTCATAAATTGTTATATTAAAAAAGCCTATGTTTCTAGAAATTATTACATATGAATTCATAAAATGTTTTGGTACATAGCAGTGAAAATTGCTTACTCTCTAGGTTTTTGACTAGAAATTAGGATTACTAGCAATAAAAATTATAATTAATATATGTAGTTAAAACTATTAGACATAAGAGAGACAATTTTTTATAGTGTGTACAAGAAAAGTATGATGTTATAAGCTACGAGAACATGATTTTGTTGAAAAAACACATAGTTTTGTCTAGATAAAAATTATTTAAAGGATGTTTTAAAATAAGTGAAGAAAAAATGATACAGATTAAACTAAATGATTATTAAAGAGTTGGGGTAAAATGAGAATGAAAAATTATTAGAGGTTATAAAAGATTTATGGATATCTTGTGTGTCCAAATCTGACTGAGGTTGGAATTATTAGATTTTATCAAAATTAACTTTAGTATCGATAGTACACTGACAAAAGTAATATTTGTTTCTCTCTTTTACATAAGATTTCTGTGTAATATTGATAATAAAGAGTAAGAAATTATTGTTCACTTTTTGAGTAAACTAAAAAAGAGAGAGGAGAGAGAGAGAAAAAAAAAGTTGCCTTATGCTGTCTTTTTAAGATCTTTTAATTATTTGAAAACTGACTCCTCTGTATCAAAGAATGTATTAGTCCATTTTCATGCTGCTGATAAAGACATAACCAAGACTGGGGAGAAAAAGAGGTTTAATGGACTTAGAGCTCCACATGGCTAGGGAAGCCTCACAGTCATGGTCGAAAGGAGAGAGGAGCAAGTCACTTATTGCATGAACGGCAGCAGGCAAAGAGAGAGAGCTTGTGCAGGGGAACTCCCCTCTTTAAATCCATCAGATCTCATGACAATAAATTACTATCATGAGAACAGAACAAAATGACCCAACCCCATGATTCAATTACCTCCCACTGGGTCCCTCCTAAGACACATGGGAATTGTGTGAGTTACAAATCAAGATGAGATTTGGGTAGGGACACAGCCAAACCATATAATTCCACCTCTGGCCCCTCCGAAATCTCATGTGCTCACATTTCAAAACAAATCATGCCTTCCCAACAGTACCCCAAATCTTAATTCTTTTCATCATTAACTCAAAAGCCTACATTCCAAAGTCTCATCTGAGACAAGGTAAGTCCGTTCCACCTTTGAGCCTGTAGAATCAAAAGCAAGCCAGTTACTTCCTAGATACAAGGGGGTACAAGTATTGGGTAAATACAGCTGTTCCAAATGAGAGAAATTTGCCAAAACAAAGAGACTACAGGCCCCATGCAAGTCCAAAATCCAGCAGGGCAGTCAAATCTTAAAGCTCCAAAATAATCTCCTTTGACTCCATGTCTCATGTCCACATCATGCTAATGCAAGAGGTAGGCTCCCATGGCCTTGGGAAGCTCCACCCCTGGCTGCTTTCACTGGCTGGAATTGAGAGTCTGTGTCTGTTCCAGGTGCACGTTGCAAGCCATTGGTGGATTTACCATTCTGGGGTCTGGAGGATGGTGGCCCTCTTCTTACAGCTCCACTAGGCGGTTCCCCGGTAGGGGCTCCGTGTGGGTGTTCCAACCCCACACTTCCCTTCTGCACTGCCCCAGTGGAGGTTCTCCCGGAGGGCCCTGCCCCTATAGCAAGTTTCTGCCTGGACATTCAGCCATTTCCACACATCTTCTGAAATCTAGATGGAGGTTCCCAAACCTGAATTCTTGACTTCTGTGCACTCACAGGCTCAACACCACATGGAAGCTGCCGAGGCTTGGGGCTTTCACCCTTTGAAGCCACAGCCTGAGCTTTATCTTGGCCCCTTTCAGTCATGTCTGGAGAGACTGGGACACAGGGCACAAAGTCCCTAGACTGAACACAGTATAGGGACCCTGGTCCTGGACCACAAAACCATTTTTTTTCTCCTAAACCTCCAGGCTTGTAATGGGAGGGTCTGCTGCAAAGGTCTCTGATGTGCCCTGGAGATAATTTCCCCATTGTCTTGGGGATTAACATTCATCTTCTTATTGCTTATGCAAATTTCTGCAGCCAGCTTGAATTTCTCCTCAGAAAAATGGGATTTTCTTTTCTATCACATTGTCAGGCTGCAAATTTTTTAAACTTTTATGCTCTATTTCCCTTTTAAAACTGAATGCCTTTAAGAGCACCCAAGTCATCTCTTGAATGCTTTGCTGTTTAGAAATTTCTTCTGTCAGATACTGTAAATCATCTCTCTTAAGTTCAAATTTTCACAAATATCTAGGGCAGTGGAAAAATGCTGTCAGTCTCTTTGCTACAACATGACAAGAGTTTCCTTTGCTCCAGTTCCCAACAATTTCCTCATCTTCATCTAAGGCCGCCTCAGCCTGGATTTCGTTGTCCATATCATTATCAGCATTTTGGTCAAAGCCATTAAACAAGTCTCTAGGGAGTTCCAAACTTTCCCACATTTTTCTATCTTCTTCTGAGCCCTCCAAACTGTTCCAAACTCTACCGGTTACTGAGTTCCAAAGTCACTTCCACATTTTTGGGTATCTTTTTAGCAGCACCCCACTCTACTTGTACTAATTTACTGTGTTAGTCCATTTTCACGCTGCTGATAAAGACATACCCTAGACTGGGGAAAAAAAAGAAGTTTAATGGACTTACAGTTCCACAAGGCTGAGGAAGCCTCGCAATCATGGCAGAAGGCAAGGAGGAGAAAGTCATATCTTACATGGATGGCAGAAGGCAAAGAGAGAGAACTTGTGCTGGAGAACTTCTCTTTTTAAAGACATCAGATGTCATGAGACATATTCACTCTCACATGAACAGTACAAGAAAGACACATGGGAATTGCGGGAGTTACAGTTCAAGATAAAATATGGGTGGGGACACAGCCAAACCATATTAATGAGAAAGGTTTTTGCTTTTAAAAATTTTTTAATTCTCACCTCTGCTAAATGAATGACTATTATTTTGCAGTGACCTGTGATCCCATTTTGACCAAGTGTTCAAGCTAGGAGGACATAAGCAGGCAACAAATGTCCCTCCACCAGGAGTGTCAGGTGAGCACCAGGTGATGGTCAGGAGGTTGTTAAACTGTTTCTGTAAAATAATAATTGGTTACAGCTGGCACCAGGGCACAGCAATCTTCCAATAGATAGAAAACATATGAAGCTGATGAGCAACGACTTCTTGATAAGATCTCAGGAGCTGGGTGAGCAGGCTGAAGCACGTGCACTAAGAGGCAAAATGGTGGAGTTTAACTGGTATATGACCATTGTTAAATCAAGCTTAGCCTAAAGCAGTCTCCTTACATATTTTAAGTTTGACTTAAATGTTTTTCTGCACATTGTGAACTATAACAAGTGGAGGTACAAACAGACTGTGCCTACATTTGTGCCAATTACCGAGTTTAGGCCAGTTGTATGTAGCCAACTATTTGAACTGTGTTCAAATAAGGCAAACACCGAGCTGTAACCAATCTAGATGTTTCTGTATCTCACTTCTGTTTTTTATATGTCACTTTCCTTTTTCTGCCCATGAATTTTCTTCTACCACATGGCTGTGCTGGAGTCTCTAAGCCTACTCTGGCTCGCAAGGTTGCCTGATTGGTGAATTGTTCTTTTCTCAATTAAACTCCTTTACATTTAATTAGGCTGAAGTTTTCCTTTATCACCTTCCTCTAGGAACACTCGACTGGTAAGGGAAAATCACCTCAAGTGAGCATGCATTTGAGTGCATTTACAACTTAAGTAAACACACTGTGCACGTGGGCCCTCCCAAGTGCAGACAGATCACCGCACATTCAAAAAGCCCACTCCAAGGGAAGAATCGGGAGAGAAGAAACTAGCAAATCCCAGTGCCATGGCAATACATAAAACCACAAGTAAAAAGTTAAATAACACACTTGGAACTTTAAAGTTGCCCGCTCGGCCCTTTTCCAAGTGTACTTTACTTCCCTTCATTTCTGCTCTAATACTTTTTAATAAACTTTCACTCCTGCTCAAAAACATGCCTTGATCTCTCACTCTGCCTTATGCTCCTTGGGCAAATTATTTCCTTTGAGGAGCCAAGAATTGAGTTGCTGCAGACTCATATGGATTTGCTGCTGCTAACACAAAGTGTTTTAAACCCTTGACATATTTGAGAGGCTTCTTAAAATCAAATTTCAAATTCTATATTTAGTCTTTTTGATCTGAAGCTAACTTTGGGATGTCCCAAGTCCTTGAAATATCTGAAGAAATAATGAACAGGCTTATTTGATATGTTAAATTATATAGGAAGTATTATTAAACATTATTAAATAAGAAATGATGTGTAAACTTTATTTGTATTATAATTGCATGAATATGCTATTAATATGTGTTCCAGAATTATATGAGATTCCTACAATTCTAATATGTCTTGATATAGGTTATAAGTCATAATTATGGCTAATTATGCCACATAAACAGCCATATTTCCTTGTCAATTGTGTCTTTAGCCATGATCATTTTAAGTCTTGTTGTCCACAGTTAATTGCTTTATTCTGATACTTTATTTTCTTTAAAGCTATTGGCAAATGATAAAGTGTTTTGTCTTTAAGGAAATTCATAAAGAATATAAAAAGAACTTTGACAAAAATAGGTTTCTTATAACTCTGAGATCCTACCATTGGGCATTGCAAATATCTCTTTGAAATTTAAAATCCAGTAGATCAAGAGAAAGTTTTGAATATTTGGCTTTATTTATTCTTTATACTGCTAATACTAGATAATGTTTTAAACAAAGATATCATATTTGTTTTTGTATTGTTTTATTAGGACTTTTCTTTGGTTTTCAGATGGATTAGTCTTTATTTCCTTACAAATTTTATATGTATATCCTTTAATTGTGCAAAAATCATACCAAAAATAAGAATTCCAAAATCTCAGTCTGAGACTGTTAAAAAGAATCATCTTCAAAGCCAACATTTTGTGGAGCACATTTGAAACAAACTATCAACCCTAAAAAGCCATTAAGCATGCCTGCCTTCTTTTTTCATGCTTAAATAGGAAAGAAAATCTCTTCCTTGTAAGCACTATCAAGAGTCATGACTATCTGGCAACTTATTTCATTAAAAATAGCTGTTATTTATTTATTTATTTATTTATTTATTTTCTTACAGATTCCCAAGCAGCTGCAATGTACTACAGTGTTTATATGTGTCGATGTGAGAAACTGAGGCTTATTTTTATGTTGAAAACATAAAGGACAACTTTTCATTTTTTATTTTGGGAAAGGGGTATCTTTTTATTTTCTTTTATGACATTTCATTTTATGATAAAACTTCTGCTGAAGTCACCATCCTTTGTGAAACTCTGTGCATATATACATATATAATGTAAATATA